>NC_000021.9:5677596-5796009 GCF_000001405.40 Homo sapiens
GATCTTGTCCACAGGTAGGTGGGTGACTCTCAAACCAAAATTCATTACATCTGTGAGACTGTAACTCTCCTAAGGGGAGAAGTTCTTCTCAGCCAGAGAAGACTCATTTATGAATCCAGTTCACTGTTGAGATTGGGACTGTTGTACCTAGGCCAAACATACAAATTCTCATACCTGGAATCCGGACATGTGTGGAGTTGTTCATCTCATCCCTGTCGCTTTCTGCAGGTGGGATTGTGACATACATCTCTGCCCAGCTCCTGAGTGTTTTAGCTCTGTTTCCTGTGTCCAGCTCACAGATGGGATTCTGATATATCACTGAAGCCAGCACCTAAATGATGTGACTCTTATCTCCTGCCTTGGTGCTGCCCACAGGGGACATTGGGACATATCACTTGGCCTTGCACCTAGGTAATGTATGTTTTCTGCCTTGCATTAGTGCTACTCACAGGGGTGTTGTGATGTATTGCTGGGTCCCACATCCATGTTATGTGACTCTTCTGCCTGTGCCCAGTCCACAATGGCCATTTTGACATATTGTTGCATCCAAAACCTAGATGATTTACCTCTCCTTCCTGAGCTTTGCCTAAGGGGACATTGTGAAATATCTATGAGCCCATCACCCATGTGGCGTGATTTTCTTCTCCTGCCTAGTCCCTGCTTAAAGAAAGGATTGTGACATATCACTGTGCCCAGCACCTATCTCATGTTACTCTTCTTTTGTTTTTTAGGATTTGTTTGGAAGGAGATTGTGATACATTGGTGGGTCCAACTTCTCAGTGACATTACTCTGTTGACTGTGCTCTGCAAGCAGAAAGCACTGTGACACATTATTGGGCCCAACACCAAGGTGAGTCTCCTGCCTGAAGCCTGCCTACAGCAATTTGTAACATATGGCATTGGGACATATCTCTGAGCCCATCAACTATTTGACAAGATTCTCCTTTTTTAACAAAGGCTTTGCCCATAGGAGAGATTGTGACATAATTCTGAGCCCTGAAAATAGGGGATATTTCTTTTGTTTTCTGCTTGAGCCCCACATTGTGATGTATTTCTCCTCCCAACAACTGAGGGAAGGGAAAGTCCTGCCTGGGTCTTGCCTATGGGGAGCCTTGTGAAATCTTTCCGTGTTCATCACCTTAAATATGTGACCCTCATCTTCTGCCATGGCCATGTTTACAGAAGGGAGAGTGGGTTATTCCTAGACCCAGCACACAGGTCATGTGATTCTGCATCCTGGTGTCTCCAGAGGGGTCATTTTGACATATCTCTAGACTCATCAACTAGATAATGTAATGCTCCTCTTCCCCCTGAAACCTATCCATAGTGGAGATTGTGAAATACAGCCTGGCACAGCACCTACATGATGGTACTCTCTTCTCATGCTTGGGTGCTGGCCACAGGGGTGATTAAGACTTATAGCTGGGTACAGTCTTCAGGTGATGTAACTCTCCTCTATTTTTGGGCCCACACACACAGGGAACTACCATATAGCTCTGCTCCTCAGTCTTAGGTGATGTGACTCTGCTGTCTGTTACCTCCTCTTAGGGGGAATTGTGATATATTGCTGGGCCCAGAACCGAGGTGATGTGGCCTTTTCTCTTGCCTGGGCCCTGCATACATGGTGTACAGTAACATATATCTGGGTTGAACACATAGGTGATGTGACTCTTCTGCATAGGTCTTGCCAACAGGGGTATTATGACATACTCTTCTATTCATTGCCTAGGCGATGTGACTCTCCACTCTTACCTGGGCCCTTCCAAAAGAGGGGATTGTGACATATCACTGACCCTAACACCAAGGTAATGTGACTGTTCTCTTTTGCCTGGGTTTGCATATTTTGGGTATTGTGACATATCCCTGGGCCCAACACTTAGGGAATAAGAGGTTTATTCCTCTACCTTACGTGCAGTGAAGCTTGTGACATATTTCTGCATTCATCACCAAGAAGATGTGACTCTTCTGCCTGCATCCTGACCACAGAGAGGATTGTGAAATATTGCTAGATCCAGCATGCAGGTGATGTGTCTCTGCTGCCTCGTTCCTAATGTGAGGAGTGGATTGCAACATACCAATGCCTGAACATTCAGGTAATGTGACTGTTGACTGGTCCCTGTCCTCAGGGAAGCGACATATCACTGACCCAGCATCCAACTGATTTTACTCTCCTGCTCTCTTCCTATATGCAGGTGTAATTGTTACATATATCTTGGAACACAACACACAGGTGCAATGATGACATTCATATGTCAAACCAGCCAATAGAAGAGATACTGCTTCTCCTAGCTACACTTAGGGAAATGAAAAAAAACCCTGGGTCTCCTCGCTAAGATCATCCACTCTCTCATATATTACAGAAAGTCCTCAGGTGGTAGAGAGTCTTATCACAGGGCCCAGCACACAGGTGAAATTTGTTACTCCTATGCGCACCCTGAACCCTCCTGACCATTATGATTTTCACCCTCACATATAAACAGAACCCACTGGTGAGGTCCTGAATTTCACACATGAATGCAGTTTATAGTTGGAATTGCGAATCTCATATGTAAAGATCTGGCCAGAGTTGGAATGGGAACTTCGTTATAAACCCAGCGCATAGAAAGCTGATGACTCTCTTATCTGGACCCCGCCAATTGTAAAGATGTTGACTCATATATAGGCTTAGGGCCACAGGTTTGATCATGGGTCCATACCAGCATGAAAATCTCTGAAAGAATTGAGACTGTCATGCATACAACATAAAGCCGTCAGGTGCAACACAGAAAGTCCTAATAGGGCTCAGCACACAGTAATATAATGACATTGGGATGCACACCCAGCCAACATTAAAGATTGTCGTTCTTTCACATGATCATAGTTCACTTTTGAGGCTCTGAATCCCATACCCAAAGGCAGATTGAAAAGTTGAAAAATTGACTCTCATATTTGAGAGTCACAGATGTGTTGATGACTCTCAGATCATGAGTCAGCACACCTAGGAAGCTGTGATTTCAATTAGGGGACAAAGTACGCAAGAGAAAATGGGGCTGCCATGCACAAATTTAGTCCACTATTGAGATAGTGACTTGTGTACTTAGATCAAACATACAGAAGGTGTTCACTCTCATGCATAAAACCAGAATATGTGCGGGATTCATCCCATATCTGGACTTTCCTGCAGGTGTCATTGTGACAAGCATACACATTTGTCCAGCACCTGAGTGATTAGACTCTTCTGTTTAAGCCCAGCTCACAAATAAAATTGGGACATATCATTGGACCTAGAACATAGGTGATGTGGCTCTATTCTCTTGACTTCGTGCTGCCCACAGGGAGCATTGTAACGTATCACTGAACTTAACACCTAGGAGATTAGAGGCTCCTGCCTGAACTCTGTCCACAGTGAGCCTTGTAGCATATTTCTGCTTCCAACACCAGATGATGTGACTCTCCTTTCTGCCTGCACCTTGCCCACAGGAAAGATTCTGACATATCACTGGGCCCAGTAATCAGTAATCAGGTGATGTTTCTCTCCTGCTATGGCCTTGCCCACAGGGAGTGTGGTGACATATCACTGAGCTCAATATTCAGGTGATTTGACTCTGCTGCTTGTACTCTGATTTCAGGAGGGGATTGTAACATATCCCCTGTGAGCACACAAGTGATGGGACTCCCCTCCTAGCCTCTGACCTCAGAAAACATTGTTACATATCCCTGGCCCAGCCTTAGGTATGTGACTCTCCTACCTGTTCCCTGCCATCAGGGAAGATATTGACAGATCTCAGGCCAAGCATCCCGGTGACGTGACTCTCCTGCTCACTCCCTTCCCACAGAAGAGATTGAAACATATATCTTGGCCAGCTCACAGGTGTAATAATGACTCTCATACCTCAAACCTGCCACTAAGAGAAATACTGTTTTTCATAGGGAGGCTTTGGAAAACCGGTAGGTCTTAACTCTTCGTTTTGTATGAAGGTCTTAGAGGAATACAACTCTCTCATATTATATAAAGCTCTTAAATGGTACAAAGAGTGTTATCACAGGGATATGTTGCATAACCTATGGGAGGGGCCCAGTTATATGTCACAATTAACCCAGGGGGCAGGGCACAGGCATGAAAAGAGAGTCACACCACATATGTGCTGGCCTAAGTGATACATCATCATCCCCACTGTGGACAGGTCGCAGTAAGAACAGGAGAGTCACATCATTCTAATAATGGTCTCAGAGATACATCACAATGACTCCCCTGGGCAGAAACAAGGGATAAGGTTCACATCACCTGTGGGCTAGGCCCAGAGATGTCACTCTTACTTCTGTGGGCATGTCTCAGGCTGGAGAGGAGAATCACATTACCTAAGCACTGGACCAAGAAATACTTCACAATCTTTCTCATGGCGAAAGCCCAGGTAAGAGAATAGAGCCATATCAAATAGTTCATGGGCTCAGAGATATGTCACAATGCTCCCTGTGGGCAGGGTTCAGGTAGGACAATCACATTACCTTGGTGCTTGTTCAGCAATATATCCCAAAGCCTTCTGAGGGCAGAGCCAAGATAAAAGAGTAAAATCATTTTGGTGTTTTACAAATCGATATGTCACAATCTCCCCCGAGGGCAGAACCTGAAAAAAGGGAAGAGTCACATTAGCTAAATGCTGCGCCGGGTGATAAGTCACAATTCACCCTGTAGGCAGAGACTAGACAGAAGATAGAGTCACATCATCTAGTGGCTGGTGCAGAGATATGCCACCATGCCCTCTCTAGGCAGAGTTCAGACAGGAGAGTTATGTCACCTGTGTTTTGGACCCAGAAATATGTCACAAAAGCCCATGGACAGAGCACAGGAAAGACAGGCACATAACCTGAATATCAGCTTCAGTGGTATGACCCAATGCCTCCTGTGAGCGTTCCAAGGCAGGAGAGGAGACTCACATTACCTGTGTGCAAGGCCCAGTGATACGTCACACGGAGGAGTACCACTGTCTTGCATATTGTGTAAACTATGGTAGAGAAATTGTCACCACAGGGCTCGCCACACTGGTGAGATTATACTTCTCAGATGCACACCACACCAATATTCAGGATGGTCTCTATCACACGTGGAGAGAGCCCACTCTTGAGGTCCTGAATTACACATGCAGACACAGTCCACAACTGGGATTGTGACTTTCATATGTGAACATCCAGCCACAGGTGGGATGGTGACTCATTTTTAAACGCAGCTCATAGGCAGTTAAGAACTCTTATTTGGACCCATCCAAGTAGAAAGATGTTGACTGTCATACCAGGGCTTAAAGCTAAAGGTACAAGGAGGGGTCCGTGCCTGCTTAAGGTTTCAGAGAGAATTGTTACACTCATGCATACTCTATAAAGGCTGCATATGGTGAAGAGAGTGTCCTGACAGGGCCCAGAACAAAAGTAGATTGTGACACTCATATCTACGCTGAGCCAAGAGTAAAAATTGTCATCTTTTCACATGAACACAGCCCATTGTTGAGGTTCCAAATCTCACACCTGGAGGCGGTTGAGAGATGAATAATTGACTCTCATAAGTGGATGCGATCCATGTTTGAGTCAGTGACTCTAAAACCAACATTCAGCAAACACGTGAGGCTGTGACTCCATTAAGGGGCCACGGTCCTCGGGAAAGACTGAAGCTGCCATGCACAGATCCAGTGCACCATTGAGACTGTGACTTCTACACTTAGACCCAACAAACACAATGTGTTTGCTCTCACACCTAGATATGGGACATGTGCAGGATTGTCAGTCTCAGCCCTGGACTTTCCTGGAGGTATAACTGTGAAATATATCTCGGCCCAGCTCGTGAGTGACTTGACTCTTCTGCGTAGCCCAGCCCATGATAAAATTGTGACATTATTGAACCCAGCACCTATGACCCCCCTCTTCTGCCTGGGTCCTGTCAAAAAGAGAGATTGTAACAAATCACTGGGACAAGCACCCACATGATGTGACTCTCCTCTTTTCCCTGGGCCCTGCATATTTTGTATATTGTGACATACTGCTGGGCATAATACCTAGGGAATTGATGGCTACTGCCTGAGCCCTGTTCACAGGGGGCCTTGGGACATCTCTCTGCATTCACCACCTAAAAAAAGTGTGTGCACCCTGCCTACAAAGAAGATTGTAGCAGATCACTTGTCTTAGCAACCAAGTGATGCGAGTCTCCTGTCCTGCCTTGGTGCTGCTCACAGGGGACATTATAACATATACTTGGTGCTGCACCCATGTTTTGTAATTTTTCTGCCAGGGGTCTACCATATAAGCTATATTGCTGGGTCCAACACCCAGGTTATGCAGCTCTCCTTTCTGTGCTCTGCCTACAGGGGACATTGTGACTTATCTCTGCACCCATCACTCAGGTGATGTGACTTGCTTCTGCTGACTGATTCCTGTTCAAGTGGAGATTGTGACATATCAATGGTGGCACCATCTAGCTGATGTAACTATTCTCTTCTGCCTAGGTTCTTCCTGCAGTGGAAATTGTGATGTATCACTGGGCTTAACACCAAAGTGACATTAATTTTTTGCCTTGGTTCTTCCCTCAGAAGACATTGTAATATATTGCTGGGCTCAGCACCAAAACGATGTGGATTTCCTGTCTGGACCCTGCATACAGGAGTCCCTGTGACATATCTCTTGACTCATCAACTATTTGATGTGACTCTCCTCTGTTCCCTGAGCTTTGCCTATAGGAAAGCGTCAGCCTGGACTCCAGAGTCAGCCACCCACCCCTGCACAGACAAGGAGAGGTCTCATTAAGCTTCAGCACAGTCTGGGACCATAGCTTTTTTTGTAACGATTTGTTCGGCATGAGGCCCACTCACAAGGGCCCTTCGTGACTGGACTCAAGGAAAACGAAAAGGCCTACTTGTTTTTGCGATTTTCTGTTGTTTTTCAATAACTATTTCTCAGAAACAGTGCTGGATGAATTCCACAAGGGGTTCACACAACCTGTTCCAGGACTTAGTGACCATTGTTTCTGTCCATGTTCATTGAGTTCAAATTTAATATTTAACTTTTCCTCCTCATTCAGCCTCAATTTGACACTGAATCATAGGAAAATATTTTTACAGTTATACGGGGAAGTCACAACTGGTATAGATTACAGATAGAGCAGAGGAGAATTAAAAGCACAATTAATAGAAACCACACCCACCACGGCCAACGCCAATGCTAGTTTGACAGCCAGTCCATGATGGGGTCCTGATGGTTAGATTCTAACTGTTTTACTTGTCCTTGCATGTCTTCGGCAAGGAGAGTAATACTGCGAGAACTGTCAGGGATACACACAACATTCAGAATGCAGCAAGACTCAAACCCCTCCTTGGGCTGCGGTAAACATACCTAATGCCATTCGATTTTGCAACACAACAGTACACAGCTGAACAAGTTCTTCTGATAACAACAGAAGTCCAGTGCTACTATCTTAGGAGCTTTTACTATATGTGGACTTAATATTTTAATTTGTTGCTGAAGCAGGATTGTACGAGGGGCAAGGGAGAATACTGTGATAGTTTTCCACCACCAGGGAGTCTGGCACGTTCATAACCAGCTACCTTTGTAAGCATCTAGATTATTGGGGAAGGGAATATTATCCCGGATGGTGAATGGAATTAATGGCACCCCCAAGTGAATCTCCCCATCCAATAAGGGGGCAGATAGGCCACCCATAGGGTCTGCATACCCAGAGGGCCCCCCAGGGGACAGCAATGGTTATACTACAATTATAGTGTATTAAGATGTTATTAAAGTAGCAAAGGAAGTCCAGGTTGGATTGCAAGTGTTGTTGTTTTGGCCCCATTTGTAGTGACAGAGCCATTCAGAAATATTGGCAAGGACAACTCTGCAAGGCAGTCCATTTCCTGTGGCCTCTGGCAATTTGATGCATAGCCAGCATTGACTGCGGTTAGCTTCTGTCGCAGTGGTTGCTGCCCAGTTGATGAATTCACTCTCCACCTCAGACCTGATGACCCAGGTACTGATTACTAGTAGACAGGTTATTCTCTGTAACAACAAAACTGAAGGGGAACATAATATTGTTTTTCATTTTTAGGAAACTGTACTACCCTTTTATTTTCTGCTCCCATACCTACAAGGTCACAGCCTTAGGGGCGGGATCTGATGGAGGCTGTATCCATATTTTCGTTCCAGGATTTAAGCTACCTATACCAGTGGATCTTAATTTCCCAGTTCTGTACGTAGCCTCTGTTGGGGCAGAGATTTCCTCAGGGGTTAATTGTTAACAAGGTACCAGGTACCACTGACAATTGAGCAACCCGAATCTGCGGTCTTGTAACAAAAGAATGTGGAGTGGTATTGTGTAAAGTGAACTTTAACTGTTCCTGGTAATCATTATCAATTATACCACCATACATTATAATGTGTCTCATCGCCAGGCTTGAATGTGTTGTAATCCATTCACCCACATTCAAGTTTGCATTTATGCTGGAAATTTTGGCCTGTTGATCTACCTGCTGTTTAGTCTGTCAAGAGAATGCAGAGATGCATGAGAATCAATATGAAAAACAGCAATAATAGTAATGTGCATCAGGATTCAGGTATCTTCCTAGTATTGTTTTCTCCAAACCTCTTTATTCATTATTCACTATTTGTTTCATTGCCATTCGGGCAACTAGGTAGTAAGACCATTTTCTGCTGACCAACAGTCGGTATACAAGCAACAAATTGCTCTGGCCTCCTCCTGAATAGTTCGGAGGATGGCTTCTAGTTCAGCCAGCTGGCTGCTCACACCCCTCCCTTCATCAGAAACGCTTATGTTTTTAACAGGATTATAAGCCACGGCCTCCCAGCATCAGGTCCCATCAATGTATTTGGTGGAACTATCAGTAACCAAGCGTGTTTCTGATCCTCTGGGCTTAGTTCTTTAAAGGATTTGCCCCATTGGGCAGGGGAGGTTTCCTTCCCTATATGCAGGACTTGCCCTGTGGTTTCCTGAGTTGGCAAGTTTTGCACATCTTCAAGTAAAAATGATACCGCTTTTAGTTCTGGCTTATCCTGGTCTTGTATGTACCATTTCCATTTTATGATACTACATTCTTGAGTGTACCCTATCCAATGGGTTTTGAGGGAGCTCATGACCCAAGTCATAATAGGAATTTGGGGCCTCATAAAAACATCATGATTAAAACAAAGGTGTTCTGCTTCCTTCAAGCGCAGTAGAAGGCCAACAGCTGCTTCTCAAAGAGTATAAGCTTTGCCAGCCTCTGGCAGCTTCTGGGTCTAAAACTCCAAAGGTATCTTCTTCCCATCTTGTTTCTACCTAAGGCTCCAATTAGCATGTTGATGTAGGACAGTTACTTGCAGTTCTGTTGACTCATCCTATAAGGGCCATAGATCCAGGGCCAGTTGCTCAGCTTGTTTTGCTTGTTGAAAAGCCAGGCTGTCTTTCTCTCTCCAGTGATATTCATAGTGTTTTCTAGTGACTGCATGCAGAGGTTGTAATATGTTACCCAAGTGGGGAATATGATGTCTCCAGAATCCAAACAAGCCAATACAATTTTGGACCTCCTTTTCAGTGGTAGGGCTGCAAATTCTAGTATTTTAGCGTTAGCCTTTGGTAAAATGGACTGTTTCCCTGCAGTCCATAGGATGCCAAGGAACTTTACACTTTGTGCAGGCCATTGAATTTTATTAGAGTTAACTTCCCATCCTTGAGATAGGATTTGGGTTTTTACCCTCTTCTGCCCTGAAAACTGACTAGTTATTCAGTTTTACCCTGACTGGGCAACTCGGACAGCTGCTTTTTCAGCAATAGGCTGATAGCTTTGAGCCTGATCAGTCAAGACAGGCCTGGCATGGTACCAGGGTCAGTCTGGAAGTCAGATTAAAATTTTCCTTTTCCAGCTTACATTTCTCTTGTAACAACCAGTCCCTACATTGACACTTTAACTTATAAGAAGTAAGCAAGCATCATCAATGCTGGGAAATTCCCTCAGCATTACAATTACCAACTGGGACTCCCTGCTGCACCTCACGCACAGCCAGTGATTCAAACAAACTTTATCCCACTTAAATGGCAATGCAGATATAATAAGCAAATATATAAGCAAGTTGCAATGGGACGGGGAGAAGGGAAAAGATATATATATATATTTAAACTCACCAAACTATGGAGGATTCACCACAAGACTGTGAAGCAACAGCCTGGGCTCCAGATTGGCCACTCATCCGTCCACAGACAACGTGAGATCTCATGAAGCTTTGGCGCAGTCTGGAACCCCAGCTCTTTTTGTAATGAGTTATTTGGCATGAAGTCCGGTCAGGAAGGCTATTCACAACGGGGCTCAAGGAACACAAAAAGGTCAACTTGTTTTTTTGATTGTCTATTGTTTTTCAATAACTAAGATATAGGAATAAATTGAAATAGAGATTTATCTGAAACAGCGCTGGATGAGGGCTTCAAGGGGCTCACACAACCTGTTCCGGGACTTGGTGACCATTGTTTGAGTCCATGTCCAATTTAGTTCAAATTTAATATTTACCTTTTACTCCAAAAAGTGTCAAAAGTAATTCCTTCAAATGCAGGAAATTATGTAGCTACTCACAAACTAAACTTCTCAAACAAAAGTCATAAATAGAGTACAGAGATAAAAAATAAAATAAAATCTAACTACATCTGTCTACAGGGGATTCAATTTATTTATTTATTTATTTATTTTAGAGACATGGTATTGCTTTGTTTCCCAGGCTGGTCTCAAACTTCTGGGCTCAAGTTAACCTCCCACCTCAATCTCCTAAAATGCTCGGATGACAGATATGAGCCATCTTACTATATAGTAACAAAAACAGACTAAAAGTGGCAAGATGCATCAAAACAATTTTATGCAAATCGTAATGAAATGAAGACAACGTCACGAGCACATTATGCAAAATACTTTTTAAATAACTGTCTTAGTTTATAAAATAAATTATAAGTTAAAACTGTCAAAGAAAACAAAGGACAAAATAATAAAAAAGTTTATTCACTGGAAACCTAGGAAAATTATATACATTTATATAATATACATTTATATAATTGTGTGTATTTATCTAATTATGTATACAGACACACATATATATGAACCTCACATGAAGATTTTAAAATAAATCAATAATATTTTGTCAGAACATAAACAAAAAACTGCAATATACTGAGAACAATATTTTAATACACCAGTTCTGTAATTAATAATAAAGCCAGAGAGAATGTTAAGAAGAAAACAGAGGACATGAAAATACTGTAAAACAGTTAGATGTAACAGATGCATAGAGATCACTCTACACAACAACAAAACTCACAGTCTTGTCAAAAGCTCATAAAACATTGTCCTAAAAATAAATATAAGGAAAAAAATTTTTTAACAGAATTAAAAAAAATTGAATGTTACAGAAAACACTTCAAAAAATCAATCAACCCAGGAGCCGGTTTTTTGAAAAGATTAACAAAATAGATAGACCACTAGTAAGACAAATAAAGGAGAAAAGAGAGAAGAATCAAAGAGACGCAATAAAAAACGACAAAGGGGATATCACCACGAAACCCACAGAAATACAAACTACCATCAGAGAATACTATAAACACCTCTACGGAAATAAAGTGGAAAACCTAGAAGAAATTGATAAATTCCTGGAAACATCCACACCTCCAAGACTAAACGAGGAAGAAGTTGAATCTCTGAGTAGACCAATAGCAGGTTCTGAAATTGAGGCAATAATTAATAGCTTATGAACCAAAAAAAGTCCATGACCAGACGAATTCACAACGGAATTCTACCAGAGGTACAAAGAGGAGCTGCTACCATCCCTTCTGAAACTATTCGAATCAAGAGAAAAAGAGGGAATCTTCCTTAACTCATTTTATGAGGTCAGCATCATCCTGATACCAAAGCCTGGCAGAAGCACAACAAAAAAACAATATCCCTGATGAACATCAATGCAAACATCCTCAATAAAATGCTGACAAACCAAATCCAGCAGCACATCCAAAAGCTTACCCACCACGATCAATTCAGCTTCATCCCTGGGATGCAAGCCTGGTTCAACATATGCAAATCAATAAACATAATTCATCACATAAACAGAACCAATGACAAAAATCTCATGACTATCTCAATAGATGCAGAAAAGGCCTTCAACAAAACTCAACAGCCTTTCATGATAAAAACTCTAAATAAACTAGGTATTGATGGAACACATCTGAAAATAATAAGAGCTATTTATGACAAACCCACAGCCAATATCATGCAGAATGGGCAAAACCTGGAAGCATTCCCTTTGAAAACCAGCACAAGACAACGATGCCCTCTCTCACCACTCCCACTCAACATAGTATTGGAAGTTCTGGCCAGGGCCATCAGGCAAGAGAAAGAAATAAAGGACATTCGATTAGGAAAAAGAGGAAGCCAAATTGTCTCTGTTTGCAGATGACATGATTGTATATTTAGAAAACCCCATTGTCTCAGCCCAAAATCTCCTTAAATCTGATAAGCAACTTCAGCAAAGTCTCAGGATACAAAATAATGTGCAAAAATCACAAGTATTTCCATACACCAATAACAGATGAACAGAGAGCCAAATTATGAGTGAACTCCCACTCAACAATTGCTACAAAGAGAATAAAATACCTAGGAATCCAACTTACAAGGGATGTGAAGGACATTTTCAAGGAGAACTACAAACCACTGCTCCATGAAATAAAAGCGGACACAAACAAATGGAAGAACATTCCATGCTCCTGGAAAGGAAGAATCAATATCATGAAAATGACCATGCTGCCCAAGATAACTTACAGATTCAATGCTATCCCCATCAAGCTACCACTGACTTTCTTCACAGAATTGGAAAAAACTACTTTGAAGTTCACATGGAACCAAAAAACAGCCTGCATAGGCAAGAAAATCCTACACAAAAAGAGAAAAGCTGCAGGTATCACACTACCTGACTTCAATCTATACTACAGGTCTACAGTAACAAAAACAGCATGGTACTGGTACCAAAACAGATATATAGAGCAATGGAAAAAAACAGAGGCCTCAGAAATACCATCACACATCTACAACCATTGGATCTTCGACAAATGTGACAAAAACAAACAATGGGGAAAGGATTTCTTATTTAATAAATGTTGCTGGGAAAAATGGCGAGCCATATGCAGAAAACTGAAACTGGATTTCTTCCTTACACCCTATACATAAATTGACTCAAGATGGATTAAAGACTTAAATGTAAGACCCAAAACCATAAAAACCTAAGAGAAAACCTGGGCAATACCATTCAGGACATAGGCATGGGCAAAGACTTCATGACTAAAACACCAAAAACAATGGCAACAAAAGCCAAAATAGACAAATGAAATCTAATTAAACTTAAAAGCTTCTACACAGCAAACGAAACTATCATTAGAGTGAACAGGCAACCTACAGAATGGGAGAAAATTTTTGCAATCTACCCATCTGACAAAGGACTCACATCCAGAATCTACAAAGAATTTAAACAAATTTACAAGAAAAAAACGAGCAATCCCATCAAAAAGTGGGCAAAGGATATGAACAGACACTTCTCAAAAGAAGACATTTATGTAACCAACAGACATGAAAAATTGCTCATCATCACTGGTCATCAGAGAAATGCAAATGAAAACCACAATGAGATACCATCTTACGCTAGTTAGAATGGGGATCATTAAAATGTCAGGAAACAACAGATGCTGGAGAGGACGTGGAAAAACAAAAACGCTTTTACACTGTGGGTTGGAGTGTAAATTAGTTCAAACACTGTGGAAGACAGTGTGGTAATTCCTCAAGTATCTACAACCAGAAATACCATTTGACCCAGCAATCCCATTACTGGGTATATATCCAAAGGATTATGAATCATGCTACTATAAAAACACATGCACACGTATGTTTATTGTGGCACTGTTCAGAATAGCAAAGTCTTGGAACCAACCCAAATGTCCATCAATGATAGACTGGATTAAGAAATTGTGACACATATACCCCATGGAATACTACGCAGCCTTAAAAAAGGATGAGTTCATGTCATTTGCAGGGACATGGATGAAGCTGGAAACCATCATTCTCAGCAAACTATCACAAGGACAGAAAAACAAACACTGCATGTTTTCACTCATAGGTAGGAGTTAAACAATGAGAACATGTGGACACAGGACAGGGAACATCAAACGCTAGTGCCTGTTTGGGGGTGGGGGGCTATGAAAGGGATAGCATTAGGAGAACACTTAATGTAAATGTTGAGTTGATGGGTGCAGCAAACCAACATAACACATGTATACCTGTATAACAAACCTGTACGTTCTGCACATGTATCCTAGAACTTAAAGTATAATAAAAACTGAAGGCTACAGACTATAATTTCTGACCAAAATGGATTAAAACTAGAAATCAATAACCGAAGAAAATTCATAAAATTCACAAATACATGATAATTAAACAATTTATTCTTCAACATGTTTTTGTTCAAGAGTTAAAAATTTAATATTTTGAACGTGTCTATAATGCCCAAAGTGAGCTGCAGATTTAATACAATCCCTATGAAATTCTTAATATTATTTTTGACAGAAACAGAGAATGTGACTCCCCAAAGTATACGGAATTTCAGGGGACCACATAAAAAAAGTTGGAAGCATTACAATTCCTGATTTCAAGACATGTTAGAAATCTACAGTAATCAAAATCTTATGTTACTAGCATAAAGACAGACAATTAGACTAATAAAAAAATCTTTGCCACTGCTGCAGACAGTGCCTGCATCATCCTGCAGACTGACAATGATCATTTTGCTGCTGATGACTTTAAAGTGTGAGACAGACCTGGCCATGTGCCAGTTTGTGGAGTGCGACATTACTGATAACACCAGTGTCAGTCAGCCTCTGCTGGAGACAGAGATGGAGGCCCTCAAGGAAGAGCTGCTCTTCATGAAGAATCATGAGGAGGAAGTTAAAGGTCTATAATACCTGATTTCCAGCTCTTGGTTGACCATGGAGGTAGATGTCCCCAAGTCTCAGGACCTTGGCAAGATCATGACAGGCATCTGGGCCCAATATGACGAGATGGCTGAGAACAGCTGAGAGGAGCTGGACAAGTACTGGTCCCAGCAGACTGAGGAGAGCACCAGAGTAGTCACCATGCAGTCCGCTGAGATCGGAGCTGCTGAGAGGATGCTCAGGGGGTTGAGATGTACAGTCCAGTCCTTGGATATCGAACTGGACTCAATGAGATATCTGAAAGTCAGCTTGGAGAACAGCCTAAGGGAGGTAGACGCAGATGGAGCAGCTCAACAGGATCCTGCTGCACCTGGAGTCAGAGCTATCCCAAAACCGGGAAGAGAGGTACCACGCCCAAGAGCACGAGGACCTGTGGAACATCAAGGTCGAGCTGGAGGCTGAGATTGCCACTTACTGCCGCCTGCTAGAAGACGGGGAGGATTTCAATCTCCTGGATGCTCTGGACAGCAGTAAATACCTGCAAGCTATCCAAAAGAACAGCCCCCGCAGGATAGTGGACGGGAAAGTGGTGTCTGAGACCAACAATACAGACTTTTTGTTGTGCTAAGCCATCAGAAGCAAGGTCCCTTTGGGGAGCAGGAGGCCAGTAAAAAGTTCAGAGGTAAAAAAAAATTAACTTCAAATCACAGAAGTGTTTCCTTCAACACAAAAGTAATATAGATTCATTAATATATAGAAGTGGAAATTAAGACAATTTCCACAACTACTCACCCAGAGAGGATTAAAAAAATAATTGACCACCAACTAATTAAACAAATACACAAGTCATAAATAAAGTATGAGTAATGTTTATACAAGCAAATGAACAGAGAATTATGTTGGCAATAGACGTGTGGTTGATTCATATTTGACTGATTCATATTCAACTGTACACAGTTGAATATAGTCATACAAAATTATAATATATAGGCAGAATCTAAAAACACAATTAAATAATGTAAGGCAGCCTATCCTAACAAGGAAATACAAGAATATATAATATTAGAAAATAAAATTAAATAAACATTAGCCTGTGAAATACCGAATAAACAAAGCATGCAACGGAAGAAGACTCTTTCCAGATAACTAGCATGTTCAACCATAACTGGGCTCCCATAAAGAGCAGATTTTGAATTCTTAGCATATGGTTAGAGTAACAAAATTGCACAACAAATACATTATAATCTCCCATAAAGAGCATTTAGAAGAAAATTTTAATAAAGATTTCAATGATATTAGAGACACTTTTTATTATGTTCTTAATATATTACTCCTCTTTTTATACAAATGGAAAGGCTATAATTTATTTATTTTTTTTAATTTTTTGAGATGGAGTCTCGCTTTGTCACCCAAGCTGGAGTGTAGTGGCGAGACCTCGGCTCACTGCAACCTCCACCTCCCTGGTTCACGCCATTCTCCTGCCTCAGCCTCCTGAGTAGCTGGGACTACAGGCGCCCACCATCACGCCCGGCTAATTTTTGTGTATTTTTAGTATACACGGGGTTTCACCGTGTTAGCCAGGAAGGTCTTGATCTTCTGACCTCGTGATCCACCCGTCTCGGCCTCCCAAAGTACTGGGATTACAGGCTTGAGTCACCGCTCCTCGCCGGCGATATTTTTTGTAGTTTTAGTAGAGACAGGATTTCACCATGTTGGCCAGGCTGGTCTTGAACTCCTGACCTCATGATCCACCTATCTCGACCTTTTAATGTGCTGTGATTACAAGCATGAAACACAGCACTGGCCTATAATTTATTATTTTTAAAACAAAGAAAAGCCTTACATTTTTACATATGGGAACAACATGAATATTGTAAAATATGCTGTGGAAAACTACAATATAATAAGCAATTAGAAATAAATTATACTATCATTCAGATAAATGTTGAGGAAAGTAAATGGAAACACTAATGATAAGTTTTTCTATGCAGTGAACTTAGACACAAACTAAAACTTTTCTTAATGTGATGTGCATATCATCCAATTCACTTTTTATATAACACATAAATTCAAGTATGTTTTCTGAAACCCCTGAAGCTAAAGTTATAGGCTAATTTGACATACGTAAAAACAGGACAGGGAAAACATACAGATCACAGTCCCACTAAGCTTTATATAAGATTAATTAATAAAATAACTCATTAAGAAATAATGTAACAGTTAAGAATTTGTTCTATTCCTGGCATGTTTCTAAGTTTTTCTATGGATTAAGGTCCTTAAAAATTCTTTGAGATGAGTAGATACAATAAACTATTCCATAGGTGATATGTTTGGCATAGAGAGTTCACATTTCTAAGTTAGTTTCTACTAAGGGAAAGAAAACTTTTTGACCTACATTACCAGAGATGAAAAAAAGAATAAAGTGAAATAGAAGATTCAACTTTATCATATCTGCTGAGGTGCTTTGGGCTCTGATAAATTTTTTTTCTGATTTTTTTGCAGGAACACATTTGAAATAATAGGACTGAAAATTATGAGGAGGAAACATTTGTCCTTGGTGTTTCTGAAATATGTGAACCAAACCCCAATGCCTGCACTTTTGCTCTCACAAACTTCTGACATGAGGCACAGATTTTTACAAAACAGCTTAACATAGAAGTCTCACAAAATGTGCAGATTTCCTCAGATCCCAAAAACAATGGAAAAGCACTCAGACCACAAGAGCTTCATGGGAATAGCAGAAAGAAGAGGTGAACTTTGGCTGTCACTGTGAATGCCCTGGAATGTTAGTGGATGAACAGAGAAGCCTTAGAAGATTTAAGAGCATAATAAGCATAGGGTAGGAAATTTCCACCTGTGGCAGCAAAAGAAGTAAATTTAGAATTTTCCAGAACCAATTTCTTTGAAGCAGAACTTCCAACACCACATTTTTAAGGTTTTCTCCTTGGCCTTTGCACCTCTCATCTTTGTTATTTGTTTATTCTTCCCTATTGGGGTGTTGCCTATTATTCTCTCTCTTTTTACATTCCAAAGACATTTCCTTTACTGTAGGACAGGGGCATCCACGGGAGACTACAGCCATGAGTTCTTAGTTTCTGTTTCTGGTTGAGCCAGTAAGGCCCTTTCCTCATCCCCCTTTTCCACTTATCACTAGACACAGAACCCAAAAACCATTGCTGCAGGCTGCTAAAAACCTAAAACAAAACAGAGCCATAACAAAAACAAAACAAGGCGGGTTGGAAAAGCTTGCTGTACGAGGCAACCAGGTCTGGCTTATATTCACCACATCCCTTCTTCTTTCCCAGAACAGCAATTGGGCTCAAGAGAAAACGTCCAACTTTTAGTATATCCCTCAGTATAGAATGAGAACAGTGGAACATATGTTCAAAGGTTTGGCTTTGTGGGCTACCGCTGATGACTAGATTCTGTCTCCCCAAACAGGGAATGCTAAAGGAAATGGCAGAGTAATGAGAATGATAACTTATGACTGCTGAGAAGAGAAGTTACATGCTTACCACAGCCTCAGAGAAACAAACACTACAATCAACTGCGGAAGCAAAGGACCACAGTGTCTGGAAAACAATGGGAAAAAATATCTTTACCTTAAAAATCCACACACAAGCCCAGAGAAGACACATTGAAGACACTGTTAATGAAGAACCAGGATGTACAGCCTCACTGATTGTTGTATTATCTTGTAGTAAGCAAGTTTGTACATACTACATTACACAGTTGTTTTATAAATTTCTGAATCTCATCAAAAGATTGCAGGGCATACAGAAAAGGACGAAAACATGTCCCAATTGAAGAAATAAAATAAACCTACAAATATTGATCTTTAAAAATCTTTGTTGACTTTTAAAGGTCAAAATTTGTAGGTTTATTCTTTGTTGTTGTTGTTTTTGCATTATATAATTTTGAAAATCAAAATAATTATCAAAGCTCCTTAATGATATGAACACTCCTCCAGTCCGCAGGGCTCCGGCAAGGGAGGAGCTTAGACACCATGCGGGACACCCGGGTGGACCCCCAACCCACGCCCGAGGCTCAGAGCAGGAGCAAGGACCTGGCTGCACCAGGCCGAAGCCGCCTCCACCCCCAGCGGTCGCGGACTCCAGGAGCTCCAGACCTGGGGTCGTGGTGAGATTCGTTGATTGACTGCGCGATGGTGGCTGAGTTGCAACCAAATGGGTTTCATCACCTTAAATGGTTTTGAACCAATGAAGCTATATTCCCTTAAAGAGACGGACAGCCCATCGTGTGAACTATAGAGTTTGTGAACAAATTTATATTGGGTTCATAGTGGCATCATGCACACAGACTCCTGCGAGTTCCCCTAAGTTCTTAGAGGACTGCTTTACCTTTTGATCTGAGAGTTGCAAAGTTCCGTAAAGAATGGCCCTGTGGATAAGCGCTAAGTCAAGAGACAGCGATTGGACAGAATTTGTGAAGGAATTCGCCGCCAGATCACGAAAGACCCCCTAAGCCCCCGCTCACTGGCAGCGTTCCTGGTCGGCCGTGACTGCACTGTGGACATGCCCATCCTGAAGGCCACCGTGGCCTTCTATGATGCAGTCCACGCAGGAAATCCACGAGAAAGTTCTAAACAGAGCCGTGGGCCCCATGATGCACCACACAATCACCTCACCAGGGAGGTTCTGGCAAATTTCAAGTCCTTGAGAGTGATCGTGGGGGTGGGCAGTGGCTATGACAACGTGGACATCAAGGCTGCCAGCGAGCTCGGAATTGCTGTGTGAAACATCCCGTCCGCAGCCGTGGAAGAGACAGCCAATTCCACCAACTGCCACATTCTCAACATGTACCGGAGGAACACATGGCTGTACCAGGCACTGTGGGAAGGCAAGCGGGTTCAGAGCATGGAGCAGATCTGCGAGGTGGCCTCGGGAGTGGCCCGCATTCGTGGGAAGACGCTGGGCCTCATCGGCTAGGGTCGCACGCAGCAGGCTTTTGCAGTTCCAGCCACAGCCTTTGGATTCAGCGTCATGTTTTATTACCCCTACTTGCAGGATGGGATCGAGCAGTCCCTGGGCATGCAGAGGGTCTACACCCTGCAGGATTGGCTGTATCAGAGCGACTGCATCTCCTTGCACTGCAGTCTCAACGAACTTAAGCACCACCTCATCAATGACTTTACCATAAAGCAGATGAGGCAGGGAGCATTCCTTGTGAACGCAGCCCGTGGTGGCCTGGTGGACGAGAGAGCCTTAGCACAGGCCCTCAAGGAAGGCAGGATACGAAGGGCAGTCGTCGACGTGAACGAGTCGCAGCCCTTTAGCTTTGCTCAGGGTCCGTTGAAAGATGCCCCCAATCTCATCTGCACTCCTCTCACTGCCTGCTACAGCCAGCAGGTGTCACTGGAGATGAGGGAGACAGCTGCCACCGAGCTCCGCCGAGCCATCACAGGTCGCATCCCAGGAAGCTTAAGAAACTGTGTGAACGAGGAATTCTTTGTCACATCTGTGCTTTGGTGGGAAATAGACCAGCAAGAAATTCATCCAGGCATCTTGGGCGTGGGTCCAGGAGGACTTCCTGCATCCATGGAAGGGACATTCCCTGGAGGCATCCCGGTGACTCACAAACTCCCCACAGTGGCACATCCTTCCCAAGCACCCTCTCCCAACCAGCCCTCAAACACGGGGACAATCGAGAGCACCCCAACGAGTAATAACAGAGAATGCCGGAAGGTAATCATTCAGATACACTTTTGAAGAAGAGACAGTGAAAAATAGACAAACTAAGAGAAAAAGAATCTGACGCTCTTTTTAGCTGATTCTGGACATATGCTCATTGGTTTTGCACTGTTAAAACTGCAAGACCTAGAAAACTGCAGATGTCGTCTGCTTACGGAAGCTCTGAAAGACTAGGATGTGATTTATTAACCACCAACTTCCGTTATTATGTGTTTAGTTTTTCATCTGTGCATCAAATCACAAAGAATGAATACAATTTTTTCCTTTATCAGTCCCTTGGGCACAGCAGGTCTGGAACACCCTGCTCAGAATGTTGCATCAAGACTTCAAACATCAAAATAAAAACCATGAGGAGGAAATCCCCATCTTGTGACTTGAGTCCCTTCAGTCTACAGGGACTGGTTACAGCATTTTGTTAATAGGAAGATCACATTACTAGAAAATATGGAGTAAACTGTTTGCCTATGGTAGACATCCTCACACATAAGATTGAAGACAGTACCGGCTCCTGTACAGAGAAGCGTCTCTCACATCTGAACTGCATACTGAGCGGGCAAGTTGGTTGTAAGTTCAGTAAAAGCCTCTGATAATGCAAAAAAAAAAAAAAAAGTATTAAGTTTCACACGCTGTTTGTAATCAAGTATATTTTCTCAGTTTCAGATCCTCTGCTATTTTATTTAGTGGGAAGTCTTGCACTAAAAGGGTTCAAGAAAAATAGTGTTGCATTTTCTTATGTCACAGGAAACACTTTTAATGGTAACTTGTCAGATTGTCTATGAACAAACCCACTTTTTAAGACATTGATAAAGTCTTCTTTTCTTCACGTTGTGTTTTATACAAGAACACTTCAGCTGTATTGGATGTGACTGATTTTAACAAATTATATTAGATTTGCATCAATTAGTTACATGTTCTATTTATAGTCTTTTGTGAATATAGTCTTTTTGTTTAAAAAGATGGCCTGTTTTGATCCTTTGATTAGGTACATTCCCGTTTTTGTAAGAAAAGAGAAATTTTTAAGACTGTCCCAAACAGAAAAATAATGGCTATCAGAAGTACGTTTTGTTTTAGTGTAGTGCGAATTACCGTTACTGTAGTTGTTTATTGTAAAGATGGACATTTAGCATTCAGTGCAGTTTTCAATAAAATGTGATTAGAAAAAACTGCTTAATGAACAAAAACAGAACATAGACAACAAAAGAATATTAGAAGAAGTGATACATAAAGAAAATGAGATATCAATAAAAAGATTTTTAAAAACCAACAATTGTGAATCTGAAGAACATAATAGCTATATTAAAAATTTAATCAACAGTCACAAAAGCAGACTAATAAAGGAGAAAAAATTACACAATTGATGACATTGTAGTTATAAATATTGAGTGATGAAAACAAATTTTTTAAGCAGAATGGAGGAAAAAGTATGGGAAGTACTGCACATGGTCAAGTGGACCATTATATTTATGAAAGGAGTCTTACAAAAACAATATAGGAGAAAAGTAATAAAGAGGTTATTTTTAAAAAGTAGCTGAGAAATCCCCACATGGCAAGATAATTAAACAAGAAGAAATACTTCCAAACAAAAACCTTCAACTGGAGTAATATCACTTCAGAAATAAAAAAACTAAACCTTTCCAAATAAATAAAAGTTGATTGTGTTACTAACCACTAGAACAGTCCTAAAGGAAGTGTAAAAGAGTCTATCACGTCCAAAAATGAAATGATGCTGCAGAGCATCATAACAGCACATGAAAATAGAAAGCTCTCTATTAAAGGTAAATATATAAACAGGTAAAGAAATCTCTACTGTCATAATCATGGTGCACAAAACTTTCAAAATATTGCCATGGAGTTTAAAACATGAGGCAGAAATCTGCATAAATTTGTGATCATAGACCATAAGGAAAGATAATATGCGATATTAATAAAACAGTGGGGGTGTCAAGAGGTACAACTTTGCATTCAGTTGAAATATAGTTGTTCTATACTGTCATAACTTTAAGATGATTTATGAAGTCTTTATTTCTCAGGATGATTACCAAAAAAAACCTGTAGAATGTATGCAAAGGCAAATGAGAAAGAAATTCAATCACGTCACTACAAAATCAACAAACAGAAATAAAGCAGTAAGAGAAAAAATGATAAATAACACATCTACAAGAAACACAGAAGACAATTACAAATAATAAAGTAACTTCATTAAATGCAGTAATTACTTCAAATATAAAAAGTTAAATACCTTAAAGAAAATTAATAAATAATTTAATGGATTAAGAACAAAGAAGATCCAGCAATTTGCTCTCTACAAGAGTCACTTCAGCTCTAAGGACTCAAATAAGTTGAAAGTAACAGTATAAAGAAAATATATTTTATTCAAAGAGTAGCTAAAATTGGAGGGCCATGGTCATAATTATACTAAACAAAATATATTTTAAATCAAAAATATGAACAAGAGACAGATTGGTATTGTGTTTTTGTTTTTGTTTTTGGAGACAGAGTCTCATTCTGTCACCAGGCTGGAGTGCAGTGGCACGATCTCGGCTCACTGCAACCACAACCTCCCTGGTTCAATCGATTCTCCTGCTTCAGCTTCCCGAGTAGCTGGGACTACAGGCACACGCCGCCACCTCACCCAGCTAATTTTTGTACTTTTTAGTAGAGATGGGGTTTCACCTTGTTGGCCAGGATGGTCTCGATCTCTGGACCTCATGATTCACCCGCCTCGGCCTCCCAAATTGCTGAGACTACAGGCGTCAGCCACTGCGCCCGGCCGAGAGAGATTGGTATTATGTAATGGTGAGATGGATTAACTTTCCAGGAATCTATAACAATAATTTATAAATCATATATATATAATTTGAAAAATCTGCAAAAATATACCACTGAGATTTTGACAAAAATTACATTAAATTTTTGTATTACTATAAATAGCACTGACATCTTTCTTTCTTTTTTTTTTTTTAGAGACAGAGTTTCTTTCTCTCTGGCTGGAGGGCAGTGGCATGATCTCTCGATAGGCTCACTTCAACCTCCTCCTCCCAGGTTCAACTGATTCTCGTCTTTCAAATATGTAAAACAAATATTGACAGAAGTCAAGCAAGAAATACATAGCAACACAACAATGGTGGACTTCAAGACTCCACTTTCAGTAATGACTAGAATAGTCAGAAGTAATATCAGTAAGAAAGCCAAACCTGAACATTATAGACCCAACCAGCATTTACAGAACTCTCCAATTTAAAGGAGCAAAATCTGCAATATTCTAAATCACACATGGTACATTCTGTTAGGATACATGTCTTATTAAATTTAAGAAAACTGAAGCCATACAATGTAAATGAAACTAGAATTCAAAAGCAAGAAAATGTGGCAAATATGTAAATAAGAGGAAATTAAGCAAAATCTTTCATATAGTCTTGCTCAAGTGTCAGGTGATTTAATATTGTTAAGATGTCAGGGCCGGCATGAGGCTCATGCCTGTAATCCTAGGACTTTGGGAGGCCAAAGTGGGTGGATCACTTGAGATCAGAAGTTTGAGACTAGCCTAGTGAATATGGCAAAACCCTATCTCTACTAAAAATACAAAAGTTAGCTAGACGTGATGGTGCACGACTGCAATCCCAGCTACTCTGGTGGCTGAGACTGGAGAATTGCTTGAACCTGGGAAGCGGAGCCTGCAGTGAGCACATCTCGCACCCCTGCCCTTCAGCCTGAGTGACTCACTAAAACTCCATCTCCAAAAAAAAAAAAAAAAAAAATGTTGTCAGTACTACTCATGATGATATAAAAATGTAAGGTAATTTTTGTCAAAATCCCAATGGTATTTTTTTTGCAGAATTTTTGTGTATAATTCTAAACGTTGCTTAGGACAGGTGACTAGCCAAACACCCTTTAAAAAGAACAAAGAGGTATTACATTTTCTGATTCAAAATCATGATACAAAGCTACAAAAATAAAAACAATGTGGTATTGCCACAAAAACAGATACATAGATGACGAAACAGAATAGAGATCCCAGAAATAAACCCTTGCATATGTGATAAAATAATCTTCCGTAAGCTTTCCATGACCACACAATAGAAAAATAAGAATCCATTTAACAAAGAGTTTTCCAAATTGAATATTTACAGAGAAAAAAATAAAGTTGGATGCTTCCTTTGTATCATATATAAAAAGAAAAGTTTTTAAAATGAATTCAATACTTAAACATAAAACCTAATAAAATTCTTAGAAGTAAACATAAGGGAAAAGTTTATGACATAAGTCTTAAAACTCTTTCCTTAAGTTTGACATCAAATTCATAAGCAACAAGGAAAAGAACAACGACCAAGAAAAGGGACTACATTAAGCTTCAACTATTCTACACATCAAATAAAACATTTAGTGCCATACAAACGTCACCTAATAAGTGGGTGAAAGCTAGGCATGGTGTCTCATGCCTTTAATTCTACAACTTTAGGAGGCCAAGGCAGAACAATCACTTGAGACCAAAAGTTTGAGACTAGCCATGAAAACATAGCAAGACCCTGTCTTGTATAGGGTTATATATATGCATACATACATACATATAACTAAAAAGAGTAAAAATATTTTCTAATCACATATTTGGTAGGTGTTAATTTTCAAAATATATAAATTCCTAAAACTCAACAACAAAAAAAGTTAATAACTTGATTTAGAATGGCACATGTTTGAAATGACTTTCTCCAAAGAAGACATAGAAATGACTAGGCATTTAAAAGGATACTCGACAACTCTCTTCTAGAAAAATACAAAGAAAAGTCACAATAATCTATCACATCAAACCTATTTTTAAAATAGTATGAAAGCTCTTCAAAAAATTTAAAATGAGATTATTATACAATCCAGCAAACCCCATTCTGGCTATGTATTTAAAATATACAACACATGATCCGGAAGAGATATTTGCACACCCAAATTTATTGCAGCATTACTAACACAAGCCAAAAGGCAGAAACAACCCAGCTGTCCCTTGACCAATGAAGAGATTAACAACAAGTGGCACATACACAAAGTCGAATATTATTCAGTCTTTAAAAAGTCACATTATATGATTATTCTTGAGAATATCACGTTAACTGAAATAAGCCAGGAACAAAGTGACAGTCTATGATTCCATTCATAATCAGGTATCTTAAGTAGACAAACTCATAGAAAAAAAAAGTTAGAATGGTGTTTGTCAAGGACTGAAGAGATGGTAAAATGGGCAATTGTCTTAAAAGACATTTAATGTTAGTTTTGCAAGACATAGAAGTTCTACAGATCTTTTGCATAACTATGTGAATGTACTTAACGCTAATGAAATATACACTTAAAAAGAATTAAAATGGTAAATTTTACATTATGTGTTTTTACCACAATCGCAATTTTTAAAAGGAAAAATATGGACTTATAAAGCTTTCCAAAAATTAAATTTTGTTCACAAAAGATTTTCTCTCACACAAAGGAAGTATAGATTTATAATTAAACACATTGTGAAATTAAGATTATTTCAATGACTATTCATCCACACAAGATAAGACAACCACTGAAAATCAGCCAAAAAATATGGAAGATAAGCCATGAGCAAAGTTGGGGACATATTTATAGAGACAAACACATATATAATTTAATTTTGAAAACGTATGACCGATTTATATTTTAATTAAACCCAACATTAGTTTCCTGAGTGAAATTTGGTTTTCAGTTTGGGCAAATGAAGACCTTTCTGTGGTTAAAAGGATTCTTTCTTCTCCGTTTCTTCATATGGACCTGTGCTGGGGATTGGTCAGCTGTTCAAGTGCAATGCACTCAGTTTTGGTTCTGTGCCAGGATTAAACCTACGATATTTCACATTTCATATATAAACCCCGATGAAGTGTTTCTAGGAGATGGCTGCCTCATAACCTATATTTTGCCAAATGTTTACTATGAATTTCACCACCATCCTCTTGAAGGTGGTATTGTAACTAAAACTCTTCAGGACATTCTACTTAAAACTAAAATCACGTATATCTCAAGAAACTCCTTTCTGATTTGAAATGCCTCTGTCATGTATTGTCTGCAATCAGCCTCCTCTTTAAAAGAAAGTAGAAAGGACAGATGAGGAAACTGATAGTGTTACTGCATGGGAGACAGAGGTGAGGATACACATGGCGGATGAAAACATGGAAGTTATTTCTACAGCACGATCTTGTAAGTGTCTGACTGCTATGCTCCCTTGTATATCAAATGATGTACCTTTATTGCAAGAGAAGATAGTGCGCTGTTTACCTTGACATTGAGAGGCAATTTTGAATCTCTGTCGTGATTGTTTAGGACTGAGGATTTAATGTGCTATTTTGTGGAAATCTTAGAAGCAGTAATGGGATTTAATGATCTTAACTATCATCCTTCTGAAAAATCTAACGCGATTTTAAATAAAATGGCCGGCTGCTTCCACCGTTCCCTTTTTAAACCAGGAGCTGCCGTTGCTTTTAACATTACGAAGTTGAATCTATGAATAGTTTGTACTATTAACATTTTTTTAAAAATCCACATTGACTTGAAGTGTACAGGCAGAGTTGGAAATTATAACATCCAAAGTTATAATACATAAGTAAAACCCAAAATAAAATCAACTGCTGCCCTGGAACCTATTATAAATAATCGAGACAGTAATATGGAATTGTAAAGAAAAATAAGAAACATATTTACTCATAAAATCTTGCAAGCAAAGTTTTTTTCTTTTTTTGAGACAGAGTCTCACTCTGTCACCCAAGCTGAAGTGCAGTGGCGAGACGACGGCTCATTTCAACCTCCGCCTCCTGAGTTCAAACCATTCTCCTGCCTCAGCCTTCACTGAGATTACAAGCACCTGCTACCAGACCAGGCTACCTTGCATATAAACTTGATATATCATTTATGAAAATACTTTTTAGATAACTAAAATATTCTACTGTGACTGTGCATTCATGAAGTTCGGGTATCTTGAATCATTGGCATGCAGTGTGTGACAGTAAAATTTCACAGAAAATACACTGTAACCATTAATAAAAGGCCCTAATAAGAGAATTTTAATGCATAAGAATTGAAAAGACACCATAAATAATTTCCGTTGTATTTTTAATACACTGATGCTATTCTTACACAAAGTAAAAAGGCTGGGTAAGTTGTGGTGGCTCACACCTGTAATTCCAGCAATTTGGGAGGCCGAGGTAGCAGATTGCTTAAGCACAAGAGTTCACAACATGCCTGGGCAGGATAGGGAGACCCTGTCTCTGCAAATAATAATAAACAGCCAAGTGTGTTAATACACATTTGTGGTCCCATCTGCTCAGGAGGCTGAGGCAGGAGAATTGCCTGAGCCTGAGTGGTCAAGGCTAGAGTGAGCTGTGATTATGCATTGCATTCCAGCCCAGGTGACACAGTGAGACCCTGTTTAAAGAAAAAAACAAACAAAAACTAAAAATTAACCAGGAGTAGTGGCATGCACCTGTACTCCCAGCTACTTCAGAAGCTGAAGTTAGAAAATCATTTGAGCCTGAGAGTTTGAGTCTGCAGTGAGCCATAATTGAGCTACTGAACTCCAGTCTGTGTGACAGAGCAAGGCCTTGTCATAGATAGATAGATGATAGATGATAGATAGATAGATAGATAGATGGAATACACCTGGAGAAAGAGTAAATTTTAATGTAGTGTGATGTAATTTTTAAAATAAACTTTATGTGTGTATCACTTAGAAATTTATAGAACAGGCCGGGGGCGGTGGCTCACGCCTCTAATCCCAGCACTCTGAGAAGACGAAGTGGGCAGATCAGGGGGCCGGATATCGAGACCAAGACCATCCTGGCTAACACGGTGAAACCCTGTCTCTACTAAAAATACAAAAAATTAGCCGGGTGTGGTGGCGGGCAACTCTAGTCTCAGCTACTCGGGAGGCTGAGGCAGGAGAATGGCGTGAAACCGGGAGGCAGAGCTTGCAGTGAGCCGGGATCGCGCCGCTGCACTCCAGCCTGGACAACAGAGCGAGAGTCTGTCTCGAAAAAAAAAGAAATTTATACAACTTAGCCAGAAGAATAAAAAACAACCTCTTAACAGTTTTTTCAAATAAAAAAAGTGAGTTTGAAGAGAAGGGAATAAAGGGGACTTTCAGTTTAATGTGTTTTTTATTTTTTGAGTCAGGGTCTCACTTTGTTGCCCACATGGAAGCGCAGTGGTGTGATTTCAGCTCACTGCAAACTTGGCCTCCCAGGCTCAAACAATCCTCCCACCTCAGCCTCCCTAGTAGCTGGGAATACAGGTGTACATCACCACAACTGGTTAATTTTTGTATTTTTGTAGAGAGAGGGTTTTACCATGTTGCTCACACTGGTCTTGAGCTTCTGGGCTCAAACAATTCACCTGCCTTGGGCTCCCAAAGTGCTGGGATTGAGCCACTAGGCCAACCAAGTTTTTTGTTTGGTTTTGTTTTTGAGATGGAGTCTCACTCTGTTGCCCAGGCTAGAGTGCAATGGCACGATCTTGGCTCACTGCACCATTTGCCTCCTGGGTTCAAGTGATTCTCCTGCCTCAGCCTCGTGGGTAGCTGGGATTATAGGCACCCGCCACCGAGACCAGCTAATTTTTGTATTTTTTAGCAGAGATGGGGTTCCACCATGTCAGCTAGGCTGGCCTCAAATTCCTGACCTCATGATCCACCCACCTCGGCCTCACAAAGTGCTGAGATTACAGGCATGAGTCACTGCTCCCGGCGACCAGCCAAGACTTTTACTTTATAAAGATATTTATGATGTTTTCTTTTCTTTTTACAGTACGCATTGCATTTATAATTGGAGATACAAAAAAAGGTGACTGTTACTGTTTGACAGCAAGGCAGTAGTATTATCTTCATCAATATTTGCAACTTAATTCGCAGGAACCTGTAAGAGAAAGCCCAGACAAAACTTTAAGGCAAAGAAGTTACACTTGTAAAAAATGAGAGGACTATTTTTTTATAATAACAAATATTCCAGGTGAGGACTGGTCAGGATCTACCACTGCTCCATCTCACTTGATAAGTCTCATGCCTGCCAGGGTAAGAAGGAGCAGAGAGAAGGACAAATGCCAGTGAGTTTCCTCTCCCACTAAGGATCTGTTTGTCAAGTTTCCTACCATCAAGTGGAAGATGTACTAAAAATAAAATGTACCCTTGCAGATGCTAGCAGAGAGGCACAAAATAGAAAAGGAGGTAAGCCCATATATTGTGGAGAAAGAGATCCAACTTAAGATTCAAAATGCACCAGAAAGCTGTGTAAAGTTAATAAAATTACTCAAAATCTTGGAACATTTGTTTCCTCACCTGTAAAATGGGGATCATGTGCCTACTTCATAAGTTGTTTTGACAGTTAAATTCACAGAGATATTTAATAGAGCCTGCTATGGCAAGTGTTCACATTAACAAAGTAGTATCAAACTTCAAAATATGGGAAAGGTATTTTGAATAATGTCTATGAGGCCAAGGACAACATGCCCAGCTTCACAATCAATCCCAGCCACATTACACTGAGGAGATCTACAGGCAACTATATTTCTTCAACAAATTCCATTAGAGAGGAAGAGTGTGTAGTCTGAAAACATGACACAAATGTGACCAGTGTACAGTGACTTAGGTAGTCGGGGGTGGAATCCCTACATATTCTCTGAATTGCAGCTACACAGTGAGTTCCCAGGAAACAAATGGAATAGAAAAGGTGACACAAAATATACTACCATAAATGGGGTGAGCATAGCAGGTTCACAACCACAAATGTAAGCAGGAGACTCAAATCACCAGGAGCACCTAGATCTGTGAACAGCAGCTTGTGGTGGCATCAGGTTCAACTTTCTGAGACCACCGGTGTGGGCAGTGTCTTTGCAGGCACATACTCGGCAGCAGTGTATCTGAAGACAGATCTCAAGGCTCTTCTCTTCACTAATTATTAAGATGATAGATGATGGATACCCTCACGTTACAACATCCCCACTAACGCTGTGGACAAGTGAATTCAGAAACCCACACCTAAATACACAGTGAAGAGTAGGATGAGAATACTGCAGGATAGGTTAGGAATGCAGGCATTCGACCCCATAGAGTCTATTTAAAATAAGAGAAGGGCCCTAGTATTGTGCTGTGGTCCTCCTATATATAGTTCTTTATTTTTCCAATTTCATAAAGGCCATACAGTTTTTCTTCCTTTCTTCACAAATGTGCTGATGAACCCATGAGTAATTCATCCTGAAGGGGTTAATTCCTCATAAAGTACAGTAACGTGATTCAATTGCTATGATGAGGTTTTTCAGGATTTTTTTATAGTGTCCCATACTCACCGATCACAAGTGAAAATTATAAGAACATGTAATTTGAACAAAGTATTCTTTTCACATAGAGAAATACACAGGTTTATACAGATTAGATGCATCATCAAAGTTGGTAACATCTGGGAACAAAAGGAACTATCCTGAGGACATAAGGAACTTAGGGACGTCGATTATTAAGAGGCTACCTGCAAGTGGAACTTCTGGGTTTTCATTGTCTAGACAGAAAAATTTAACTCATAAGCCCCAGTATATTAAGGTACATCCCCAACGGCTGTGGGGGATCAACTTTCCATCCAAAGCAGAGATGTAAAACATGAATGACTTCAAATGCGGCTCAAGTGCTCTGCACCTTGAAAGTCATCCCCACAAAGCTGGAGCACCACCTGTTCCTGAGGGATGAGGTCACCAACTGCTTTTTTGAGACACTCGTCAGTCAGGACTCAGTTGAGATGAGGCTGGTGATTTCAACTGTAAAATATCTAAACCATCGTCTTTAGGTAGATTCTTATGCCTGGGAATTGTGGTTTTCTCCTCTGCTGTTAGCAGATCCTGAGTAACCCAAGAAATACCCGCTCTCACCCGTCAAGTTCTATATCACAAGAAAGGCGCTGCAGACGGTGACATTTTCACGAAGGAGCCACAGCCCGCATCACCCCCTGAAAGCTCTGAAGTTGCGCACGGGTGGGTCACGCAGCAGGTGGATGTCTCAGTTCCCATAGAGTTTAGCAGAGCAGGCGGCTCCCTGGGCTGGAAGAGGTGCGATGCTCTGGAAACCCCCCGCGGGTGTGTATGTGAGAGGACACCGAGATGTTCAGCGGGCTGTTCAGTGAGGACCAGACCCCTCCGATTTGAGCAAGGGAGGTGCACTTCGCAGGGTCACACCGTCCTCATCGCCCAGCCTAGACCTGCCCCTCAAGTCCTTCTGCGGACTCCCTTGGCGAGGGGGTGGCACAGAATCAGCATGTGGCATCGCTTAGGAAAGGACGAGTCCACACCGCCCTGTCCCTCCCTCCAGGGCTGCGCACCACGGGGTAGGACAGACAGCGCATGCTGGTTTTGTAGTTAGCAGGTCGGCGACCAATGGGCTGGAAACCGTTAAGACACCATAACTCCCAGCACTCCTAGCTAGGGACGCGCCTCCCTATCCTTCGCTTCCATACTACACACCGCCCCCAAACCCAGCGCATGCTGAGATTGTAGTCCGTTAGCCTCGCGACCAATGGGCTGGAAATACTGAAAGGACTATGACTCCCAGGATGCTTTGCGAGGTACCCGCCGTCCCGATCCTTCCTCTAGGGCTGCGCACCGCCCCCAAGCCCAACGCATACTGGGATTGTAGTCAGGTAGTCCTGGGACCAACTGACTGGAAACTGTTAAGAGACCATAACTGCCAGCACGCCTGGCTAAGGACGCACCTCCCTATCCTTCCCTTCAGTGCTACACACCGCCTCGAAGCCCGGTGGCTGCTGGGATTGTAGTCTGCAGGCCGGGGGCCATCGCTGGAAACCGTTAAGAGACCATAACTCCCAGCATCCCTGGCCAGGGACGCGCCTCTCTATCCTTCCCTCCAGCGTTACACACCGCCCCAATCCCGGTGCATGCTGGCATTGTAGTTCGGTAGCCTTGCGATCAACGTGCTGGAAACTGTTTAAGGACTATGACTCCCAGGACGCCTTGCGAGGGACCCACCCTGTTGACCCTTCCTCCAGGGCTGGGAACCTCCCTTAAGCCCAGCGCATGCTGGGATCATAGTCCGACTGCCGCGACAGAAAGGCTGGGAGTGGATCTGAGACTACAGTTCCAACACTACGGGGAAAATTTCATCTTCTCTGAGACTACAGTTCCAACACTGAGGGGATAATTTCATCTTCTCCTCCGCCCCTCCATGTTTCCAGTGCAATTCCGCCCTGCTGAGGGGAGCCTATCTGTTCCCAAACTTCTGCGTGCGAGGAGACAGCGTGGCCAGGGCAGGTGGTCTCACTTGTAATTGTGGCACAGTCTCCCCACGTGCCAGTTGTACGACTATTTGTGCCTGAAGTTTGATTTCTCTCTGACAAGACAGAGCCCGGGAGCCTCCAACAGCCTGCCCAGCGTTGCTGTAACGCTTGCTTTCGGGGAGCTGGGCGCGCCCAGACCTTTGCAGGGCCCCTCCCTCAGCCCCGACCCTTCTCCTCGCCCCTCCCCTGCCACGCCCCTTTCGACATGCTGGAAAGTCATCTACCTTTAATAACAGTCATCTTTGCAAAAAAAAAAAAAAAAAAAACTCTGAGAATAACCTATCTCCCATTCTATTTAGTATTTATTTCCATAGTATCCATAAATAGTAGCAATTAGATATCACAGCAAGTCAAGCAAAAGCCCTGCCTTGCCTGTTTCATAAACCACGATATGGCCTTGCTGTGGTTTTATTTGTATTTTGTTTTGTATTTATTGACCTTTTGGATATAAATATTTAGGTATTTGGACAGTTTTTGGAAGTATTCCGCTATTAGTTGTTGATTTACTTCTGTTCCCTATTTAATTATTTTTTGTCTCTCCCTTCTCCTTAGACTCAGTCATTCCACAGGTCTCGAGAGTTCTGTTCATTTCCTTTAAACTTTTTGTACTTTTTTTTTTCCAGACTGGATAATTTCTATTGCTGTGTCTTCTGTTTTAAATCTATGGCTAAACTCAAAAGATTTTTTTCATTTCCTTATCTATAATTTTTTTATATATATGTTCATTTCTCTGCTGAAGTTCCACATCTGTTTGTTTATGAATAGAATATTTTCTTTTTTCCCCATGAACATATTCATAAAAACTGCCTTCAAATTCTTGTCTGCTGATTGCAACATCCTGGGATAGCTTCTACTGCCTGCTTTTGATATTGTGTATGGATGACATTTTCACGTTTCTTTACAAGTCTTATGAATTTTAAAATTGTGCACTAGAAACTATAAATGATAATTATAGAATAGAAACTCTGGATTTTGCTGTTTTACCTTGAAGACTTTTGTTTTATAAACAGGGTTCATTGGGCTAGTGTCAAACCAATGCTTATGTCCGCTACAGTGGGTATAGCTGAAATCTTCATTCAGTTGTTAAACACACATATCATATATGTATTATGCATAGGCGTTTTTCTATAATAATATATTTTATTCAAGTTTCATCATTGTTATTTGTGAGAGTTCAACAAGCTAGTCCACACTTAGTGGAAGTCAGAACCTCAGTTTTATTTGATTGTAGCATTTTATATAAACAAAATTATATAGTATGTATACTTGTACATCTGTTTTCTTTATTTCCTTTTCTGTTTTCTTTCTTTCTTTCCTTTTCTGTCTTCTTTCTTTCTCTCTTTCTTTCCTTCTTTCTTTCTCTCTTCTTTTTTCTTTCTTTCTTTTCCCCAGGTTGGTGTGCAGTGGCATGATCTCACTGCAACCTCTGCCTACCAGGCTTAAGATATCCTTCCACTTCAGCCTTTTGAGTCACTGGGACCGCAGCCTTGCACCACCATGCCCGGCTAATTGTTTTGTATTTTTGGTAGAGACAGGGTTTCACTATGTTGCCCAAACTGGCATGTCTGCTTTCTTTTATGCAACATTACATTTGTGATATTCACCCACCAGTTGCAAATAGCTATAGTCTGTTCATTTTAGAAAGTAGTTTTTACCTTTTAGTAAAATATAAAAATACATGAAATTAACCATTTTATTATTTTTTTTGTGTGCAGTTTAAAGAAATTAAATACATTCACATTGTTTTGCAACCATTGTCCAAGTTCATAAGGAACTGTTTTTCAATCTTTTAAAAGTGAAACTCTGTACCCAGTAAACAACACTCCCCTTCCATTGCCCTTTGTGTAGTCCCTGGAAACTACTCTTCTACTTCGTGTTTCTATGAACTTAACTGCTGTAAATATCTCATATGAGTGGAAAGAGACAATATAGCAAAAAAATCATGAGGAAGAATAATATATACTATATAACATATGTTTATCCATTTTAAGAAAAATGCTAGCAGAGATCAGGTCATGGTGTTTATAGAGAAAGGTAGGTAACAGTGAAAAAGGGATTGGTTGCATTAAATTTACGACGTGATGCCTCAAGTGCCAGAGTAGTGAGCTTTCTGCCCCACTCGCAGGGCTGGTCAATGGTGTGGCTGGAACCCTACTTGAGCTGCCTGACTGCCAGAGCCCATGCTTAGTACAAACTTCAATGAGCCATGAAAGCAATTCCAACAACAGGCACTTAATGGCTCTGAGATTTTATCACAGCCTGTTCTTCATGGCTAGCAACTTCAGAGAAGAGTGACAGCTGTGAGGTTCCAGAAGCCACACCTCAGGTCCCCCAGTTCCTCCCCAGCAGCTGGAGTCCAGGTGCAACAGGACCTGATGCCGGCCAGGGAACCATGGCCACACGCTGTGTGAGGCTGGCGGCAAGACAGTCTCCCCTCCTACCCTCTGCTCATCTGCTAGGTCTTTGCCTTTTATTCTGATTGTGCTGCTCCAGGCTTGGAACAAAGCCCGAAATTCCTCTTGAGTCTGAAGATGATGATGGTTTCCAGCTGTGTGGAACTGCTGCATCTCCTGGAGGACTTTAATCTTCTGGAAACAGAGGGAAAGACAGGATGCTGACAGGGCCTGGGTGAAAGACTCTGTAGGGGCCTTATAAAAGAAGGGAGGAGGGCTGGTCTCTGAGGTGTTTCTTTTAAGGGGCTCTCACCTCCCCTCCAATATCATGCAGCCCTAACTGGTTCTCAGAGTTGAATGTAAACGGCCCTTCCTCTAGGAAGTTGTCATCAACTTCACTCCCCTGATTGCACCCTGCATTAGGATAGGTCTCCTCCTTCTCTGTGTATTACTCCCTTTCAATAAATCTTAGATGCGGAAGAAGGGACCAGGGAATGTCCTGCCCAGGGTGATTTCTCATTTCCACCTCCACCCTCCCTCAAAGTGAGGACTTCAGCTACTGCTCACCTTTCTGTTTTTCTGGGTTTTGATCACATTTCTCTGGAAGACAGAAAGCCAAAGACCATCAGAAAGGTCCGCTGGTCCATAACTAGCCTCCATTTCCAGCGATTTCCAAGCTTCACCACTACCAGAGCCACCAGGGTCAGGGAATGTGCACAAAAGAGGTCTTGCAGCTCTGCAGCTTCACTACTCAGGGAGTGGGACTGATGGCTGCTGTGGAGCCTCCATCACTCATGAGTAAAATACCCTGTTTACGGGATGGGGAGGGCTGCGAGGCCCTCGCAAAAAATTTTGGCAAGGACTGAGATCTAGGAGCTCAGTTCAAGACTCTCTTCTCCCAGGCCTCAGGATCCTGGTCCCTGACCTGTCTTCTCCAGGCTCACTCACATCCACACACTCCTTCATGGCAATGTCCAGCATCACCACATCAGTGAGGAATGTCCCCAGAGAGGGCATGACTTGGGAGGTGCCCACCCAAGTCCTGTCCGCTGAACTCTTATAAACCCCTGCCTCCTGGCGCCCTCTACCTAGGTTACCCACTTGGAGTAGCTGAGAACCCTCAGCTGCCTTTTCCCAATTCTCTATGTCTTCCCATTAGCTGGCCTCTATTGCCACCAACCTCACCATAATTACCTCCTTGGTGGGATTTTAACAAGCCACAAGGTCATGTGGTCCCTGGCTCCACCTGTTTTAAAAGCCACACGGAGCCCAGCTCTCCCAGGCCTTGCTCTGGTCTGTCTAATGAAGGTGTTTTAGGCACTGCAGCCCCAGGAGAAAAGGGCTGGAGTAGAAAGGCCCTCTGCTTTTTTGATTTGGAGGTTTCCAGCTGGGAGAAGTAAGCTCTGTTCTCTGAAACCCTGGAGCCCTTCCCCATCACAGACACATTCACCTTCTGCTGTCACAGCCTCATCTAAGCTCTCTGAGGCTCCGCTACAGGGTAGACAACTTGTACGGTGTTCACCTGCTAGGATGAGGGACAAGGTCAGTGAAAATATGCTTCTTTCAGTTACGCCTCAGCCACACTAACCTTGGACACGGATAAGTGGCCTGAGTCAGCTTGTCCAATGCTCTGACCATCTCCAGTAAGCTCTGACTCTAGACTCACTCCCAGGTCCAACACTCCCTGGATGTGTCATTTTGGGCATGCAGTCGGGTTTCCCTGAGCTGTTTCCTCAACTGGAAAGTGTGGTGGGAACCAACCACCTCACAAGGCCTCTTACCACCTCGGTTTCATGTGGTTGTCATGATTGCTGTCACCATCTTCCCTCTCAGGATGAGCCAGACACAAGCACCCTCAGATTCTCTGTCTCCCTGAGCCCCATCACCACCTTGTGAGGCCTGCCCAACAGGCTCATCATTCCTACATTTTCCACATAAGAAAACAGAGGCCCAAAGCGGCAATGACATGCCAAGGACCCCACAAGAGAGGCCAGCTCCTCCCTCAACCTAGAGGGACTGTCCCGGCTGCCTTCACCTAACACCCTAGCATCATCACTGACCAGCATTCCATCTTCTAAACTCTATGAGTGACAATATTCCCAGCCAGGCCCTGTGGCAGTGGACATGGTTCTGAGAATTGGGAATCTAATGTGGAGGAAAAGTTAAATATTTAATATGAACTCAATTGAACATGGGCACAAACAATGGTCACGAAGTCCTGGAACAGGTTGCATGAACCCCTTGAGGTGTTCATCCAGCGCTGTTTCAGAGAAATCTTTCAATCCATTCCTATACATTAGTTATTGAAAAAACAACAGACAATTGCAAAAACAAGTTGATCTTTTGTGTTCCTTGAGCCCAGTTGTGAAGGGCACCTGTGACTGCGCCTCATGCCAAACAACACATTACAAAAAGAGCTAGGGTCCCAGACTGTGCTGAAGTTTCATGAGACCTCTCCTCATCTGTGCATGGACACGTGGCTGACTCTGGAGCCCAGGCTGTTGCTTCCCAGTCTGGTAATGAATCCTCCATAGTCTGGTGCGTGTAAATATACATATACATATATGTATATTTATATACATGTATATGTATATAAATATACATATATATATTTTCTTTCTGTCCTTCCCATTGCAATTTGCTTATTATATTATTTGCTTATCAAGTCTGTATTGCCATACACTTGGGATAAAGGCTATTTATCCTTAAAACTATTGTGGGTGCCTTTTCTTTTCCCCTCGTTCATTTCCCGCACCGGAGCCCAGGTGATGGAATCTCGAAGTGACCTCACTTCCTTAGTTACAAACTCAAAGAAAGTTTAGAACTCTGGTAACCTGGAGCCCTAATTCTAGAGACAGCTTTGTATTTACTAAGGAGACTCTGAAGACAGCAAGATGTTCTCCTGCTATGTCTTGAATTTCTGAGGCTCTCATCTCAGGAAGGCTTGAACAGAGAGACTTTTTTTTATGATGGAGACAGTGCTCATTCTGCACTGCTGGCTCTTCTGGCCATTTGGAAAGGGTTACCCATAGATAACACAAGGCCACCCATGGCAGGCCTATCCAGGCCAGGCCTCACCTTTGATATCATCTCGGCAGGCACACACCCCTCCTCATCTCCACGTCTCGTGGGAAAGAAAGAGATAATGGGTCCTTTCTTGGCAGGAGCAGGTTTCCAGGTATTGGGAGGCTAAAAGCCTGTCAAATTTATACCGCAGGTTACAGTTGGCAGGAGGGGAAGGTGAGTGCTGGGGGTCACCTTTGTTTGTTCAGACATTTATTCTAAGGCTTCAAGCTGTCCTCTTGTTTTCTCCCTGGCTGGAGGTCTGCGCAAATGCTCCTATGTGCCTGATCTGGGGAGTAGACTTTCTAACTGGAATTTCCCCTGTGGGGAAAGCCAGGATGCCATTGATGCCTCTTGGCCAGGCTTCCAGGCACTCTCTTTGCAGAACTCTATTGAGGAGATCCCTGAGGAGCTGTTTGATGAGTCCAACTACTCCATCTCATTGAACAAAAGGCAGGTGCATCATGCCAACAACCATGGCCCGTGCTAGTCTGGAGTCAAGGTGGGCACAGAGAGGTCTCCAAATGGAAAAGACCAGGGAAGCCCAGGACCCTGACCCAAATGTGAGGATTCCCCAGAAACCGTTTTAGGGCTTTCTCCATTAAGGACCCACAGTTCCTTCCCAGAGGAATTTGGCCTCCATTAGTCCATAATGGCAACTTAGGTGCACAGTCCCTGGTCATATGCTTGCAGGAATGTCAAAAGAAACACTTTTGTGTTGTTATTACTTTACATTAAGTTGTGAGTATCTTTGCATTTTGCTATTATTTTTATTGTTATATCTACCTACCCCACATACTTCCTGGAGCAGGCAGCTTCGCTGCCTTGCCAGACCTTCTCTAAGTCTTAGAAGTTCACACTGTTACTAGAGAGAGGTTTCACCCAAAAAGTGGGAGTTATGCAAAAGGGTCTTATATGACTCTTTACATATGTGTCCCAGAGCCCACCTCTATAGCCCCATCAGGACAGGAGCTGTGTCCTCATATGTCTTTATAAGATTCCATAAGTGGGGCCTTTCCCTCAGTAATTTAGGCTTTTAATACTGGTGGAGCCTGACATAATAAATTCTATTTCCACTTCAGCCATGCTACAGGGAATATCTTTTTTTTTTTTTTTTTTTTTTTGAGACGGAGTCTCGCTCTGTCGCCCAGGTGGGAGTGCAGTGGTGCAGTCTCGGCTCACTGCACTCTGCCTCCTGGGTTCACGCCATCTTCCTGCTTCAGCCTCCTGAGTAGCTGGGACTACAGGCGCCTGTCACCACGCCCGGCTAATTTTTTTTCTCTGTGTGTGTGTGGTTTTTTTTTTAGTAGAGACAGAGTTTCACCGTGTTAGCTAGGATGGTCTCGATCTCCTGACCTCGTGATCCACTCGCCTCGGCCTCCCAAAGTGCTAGGATTACAGGTGTAAGCCACCGCGCCCAGCCGCTACAGGGAACATCTTATCTGTGTCCTAATAGGCTGTAACGCTTTGCTATGACTTCCCTAATACAGTACCACAGGCTGAAGTTCTTTAACAACAAAAACTGAATGTCGCACAATTCTGGAAGTTAGAAATCCAACCTCAAGCTACTGGCTGTGTGGTTTCTCTGAGGTCTCCATCCTTGGCTTGTAGATCGTCATCTACTATATCTGTGTTCACAAGATCTTCTCTTGTGCTTTTCTGTCCTTCCTGCCTCTTCTAATAAGGGCTCCAGTCATCTGGAATTAGGATACACCCCAATTAATTCACTTAAACCTAACTACATTTGCAGAGGCTATATGTTCAAATATAGTCATGTTCTGAGGCACTAGGTGTTAGGACATGAACATATAATTTTTAGGAAGGGAATGCAATCTAGCTCACAACATTTACTAATCCCTTGTAGATTATAGTCTCCCAGGAAAATGATTACTCAGTGAAACAGTAGGAAAGTGTAAAGGTTTAATAGGAGAAGCCGGAATATATTCCAAAAGGGTTGTGAAAGCCGTACTGTAAATAGTAGTTTCTGAATTTATCTGCTTTTATGTATCCAGAACCTCTTGGTTGTCAACATTCTTTTAATTTTTTTGTCAATCTGCTATCTATGTGGCAAAAAAACATGTTTCTATTTCAATTTTTCAACTGATATATTTGAGTTACCTTTCAGTTGATTTATACTTATTTGAGTTTTCTGTTCCCTCAGTTAATCCGCTCAATTCCTTGGCCCTGTGAGGGGTTTCTCTCACCTTGGAGTCCCCAAGCACTGACACCTTTGTCAGGTGTGGGGTTGCTGTAGTTATTTCTCAACACTCCCTTTAAGGTTTTAAAAGACCCAGTTCAGTTGCTTTAAGTCAAAAGGGTTGTCTTAGGGTATCTTATCCTGTGCCCTGTCTCTAAAACAGAAAGAAAGTGAGCCTTCCCCATGCCCTTCCCCCTAAGTCAGGGACAGACATAGAGCCTCAGGTAGCTTAAAGGGAATTTCATGCAACCCCCACCGTGGAAGATTCTCTTTCTTACTTGTGTTTTTCTGAGCAGCCATTTGACATCACAAAGCTTTATTTTCTCATTTGTAGGCTGAGTATGTTTTTTTGGGAATTCTCTGGGATAATGCTCTTCATAAAGATTATTAATACAAGTGGGTGCTGTTGTCTTACAGCTGATATGATATCGTGAAGGCCTTGACTGTATTCATGGATTAATTATTCTCTACCTCCACATTAAATTTGATATCAGAGGCCTAAAACCTTTTTCACCATAAACACCCATGTCCTCCACATGCCCAAGTCTCTGAAGGATGGAGATTTCCTCATCCAAGCTCCACATTCCAAGCCTCTGGTGTTTCATGGTCTTGCCATGAAAAGTCTTGTCCCCTCCCCAAGAGGAAATGAGTCTATTCTTAACCTAGAGGTGTGAATGATGCCAATGCGCCAAACCAGGCACAACGGAGAAGCTGACGAAGTCCCTGACAGCAGCCTTCCAGGGTCAAACTCTCTTCTTTTTATCATTTTTCTCAAGTTTTACCAGGACTTCCTCACCACTCTGTAGTTCCTGGACCAGCTGTCTAGTAGTTGAGCATATGTCTTCTCCAAGGCACAGTGGTGACTCTGCCAGCTACTAACTGTGTCTTAGCATACCAGTGCATCTTTATCAGCCTCAATTTGCATCTTTATAGAGAATTGTAAAATGAACCTCTGTTCTGTACGAGAGACATGCAAGGGGAGAAGAAAACACACCCAAAAAAACCTTTAAGGGTAAACAAGCTTTATCTGACGTAAATGGCAGTGCAGCTATAATAAGCAAATTGCAATGGGAAGGGGAGAAGGGAAACATATATACATATTTACGCCCACCAGACTGCGGAGGATTCATTACCAGACCGGGAAGCAACAGCCTCGACTCCAGAGTAGGTCACCCATCCCTGCACAGACAAGAAGAGGTCTTAGGAAGTTTCAGCGTGGCCTAGAGCCCTAGTTCTTTTTGTAATGAGTTGTTTGGCATGAGGCCCAGTCACGAGGGCTCTTCACAACTGGGCTCAAGGAACTTGAAAAGGTTATCTTGTTTTTGCAATTGTCTGTGGTTTTTCAATAACTAACACATAGGAATAGATTGAAATAGATATTTCTCCAAAACAGTGCCAGATGAATGCTTCAAGCGGCTCATGCAACCTGTCTGAGACTTAATGACCATTGCTTTTGTCCATGTTCAATTGAATTCAAATTTAATATTTAACTTTCCCCCACAACCTTATATGTTTTTTGTGAGAAATGAATGGCATACAATATGAAAAGTGGTTTCCTAATGCTCGGCTTTGTGGAAAGCCTGCTGGGGCATGCTCTGATTGTTCGTATTTATTACTTTTTTCTCTTCTTTCACCCCAGAAGGTCTTTCATGTCACAGTGACTCATGTCCCTCTATAATTAGACAATCATATAGAAAACAAACATGTTCTTACATTTGTAAAGGGCACTTGAGCTTCCTGTTAGCTGGACTTTGTCCTTGAAACAGAGAGATCCTGTAGGAAAGAGTCCCCAGGCACACTCAGACATAGCTAAAAAGGTTGTAGTTAGGGCTTATTTATTCATCACATATATATAACGCAGTTTTCCAGACACTTGGCCTAATTCAGTGAAGACAACAGATGACAGTTCCTGGGCCACAATTTACTTCAGGGAGTCAGACACTCAGAGTGGACATTATAAGCAGGTCATGATCACAGAATGTGAGAACTGATGTTCTCATGCTCTCCTCTAGGAATGGATGCACCTGTCAGCTTCTGATCAGAACGACAGACCCAGGATCAAGCATAACATTTAAATAGACGAATAAAACTTTTTTCCAAAAAGGAACATCGCTTTATGATAAAAACTCTCAACAAATTAGGTGTAAAGTAAATTCACTTCAAAGCATTAAAGGCCATGTATTACAAATGAATAGCTGGGCGGGCAGATCTGCCATAAGGCAAGGGCATCCGCTTCCCTAGATACATATCCAGGGGCACAGAGAATGAGCAGTTCCAGGGTTGTGTCTCACATGGGGTCCTCTCCAGGTCGGTTTCAAGAGGACAGGACTGGGGTTCTGTATCCACTTCTGTGGAGAGCTGGAAGTAAAATGAGCTATGCTCCACCTCAGCCTAATGTAGACAATGGCTACAGAGAAGACTGTTTTCTTCCTCATAAATAGGGGTGCTCGAAGTGGGTAACCTTGATTGTTTCACATACTCATAAGTGTCTGCCAGCCTTGATTCTTCATTGGTGAACTAAGACTCTTTGCTCTGAAACTCTGCAGAAATGCTTCTACTCCCTGGAGGCCCTTCAAATCAGAGAGAGGCATGGCCACTCCAGAGGCATTTTGGGTAGATAAAGATGGGATAGAGCTAAACGTGTCAGAACACTGGACCCTGAGTCTGAAGTCATGGGAAAATGCCAGTTCCTGTTGGGTTTTTGAGCTCCTCATTTGAAAGTCGTATTAAATAATTTCCCTGGATAAGGGGAGGGTGCCTCATGAGTAAATGGCACACTCCAAATGGTGGAGGCAAAGAGAGGGCAATGGAGGATTCCAAGGTCACTCAGTGTACTTGGAGCCTTCAGATTCTGCTCCTTTGTCCTCTGGAACTCCAAAGAGTCAGTGTCTTGAGGACACAAAACAATGGTACCTGATTTGTTCCATAATGTTCCTGCATGGGGCTGCAGTGTTAGTGATGGCCTGGAGGTGGTTACAGCCTGCTGTGTTTCTGGTGCCTATTGAGCTTTGCTGGAGCAGCTGGAGCAAGTAAGAGTCACACACCTCATGTTATTATCAACAATTTCCACATTGCCCACTTAGCCAATCTTTTTTCCCTTGCACTCACCCTTTGCCAGCTACCCTGGTGGGTCCAACATGTGGCACAGAAAATGATTACATCATGCCTGCATACCCCTCCAAGGACAGAACAGTCTGAAGTCAGCTCGACAAAAGCACTAAAGCAAGTATATATAAAAGAAAAGAGCAAGGACTATTATATAAAGTAGAATGTTGAGAAGAAGAGCTGCAAAGTCATTGAATGGGGGGACCCAAAGTCCTCACTGAGGTGATCTTTAATCCATGATGAGAATGATAACAGGGAGGCATCTCTGCACAAGAATGTGTCAGTGAGAAGCCACCCTTGGTGAAGAGTCTTACAGGTGTGAGTTTGGCAGAGATTAGAAAGGGACCAATTTGGTACAGACAGCCTGAGGAAGAGATAAGCAGAGGCATGGAGAATCCTGGGGCTTGGGAGATGAGGCTAGATATCTGCTCCTTTCTGACAACATTGCCCTAAAACTTAGCACCTTTCAATAGTATATAGTATCTCACAATTTGTGTGGACCAGAATCTGGACACAGTTTAGTTAGCTGCCTCTGCCTTCAGGTCTCTTATGAGATTGGGGCTGTGGTCTCAACTGAATGTGGACCGGAAAAGCATCAACCTTTAAGCTCATGCTTGTGAAAATTGGCAGGGTTCAGGGTAGACTGAGAGCATGACTTTACTTCTGTCTACTGCCTGAGCACTCCCTCCGTTCTTTGTTATGTGCGTCTGTACATAGAGCATCTCATAGCATTGGAGCTTGCTTCCTCTGTTTGAGGAATACAATTGAGAGACAGAATTAGGCAAACAGTTTCACACAAAGAGACATAAAGAAATGGAAAGACTGAGGAAGCAAATAGGAAAAACCCAGTAGGAGGAATAATGACAGCTTTAAAAAAACTTGAGAGTTACAATAATTTGTATTAAAATTGTAACCCCCAGTGTAATGCTATAAGGAGATAGGTTGTAATTAACTCCTGAGGTTGAGGCCATCATGATTGAGATTACTGGCTTTACACAGGAAACCCCAGAGGGATGTCTGTCTCCTTCTACCAAATGAGAATAAAATTTGATGTGTGCAGTCTGAAATTCAGAAGAGTCATCACCAGAGCTCAACCATGCTGATACCCTGATCTCAAATTTCCAACCTCTAGGAGTGTGAGAAATTAAATCCTGTTGTCTATAAGCTGTCTAGTTCATGGTTCTTTGGTATAGCAGCCTGAACTAATACAAAAGTCATACACTATTCTGTATTCCATTTGACAGAAGCTGAATTTGTGCCTTCAAACTGTTAAAAAAAAAAGACTTAAAAATTGGATATTCAGAATGAAAGATAAGAAACAGCTTGTTGAAACACTTAAATCTCCTCTGCTTATAAGATTTTAAAAAATTGGCTGAAATATGTTGGAAGCAATATGGCCAACTGAAGTCCATGGAGAATGAGTTTGCTGATGTTAGAGCCCAAATTTCCGTTGCATGTTTCATATTAACACTCCCTGAATATTCATGTGACCTGTGAGGAAACAAGAGGAGATGACTGTGCATGTCTCATGACTTTCCATATTACTACTTTCCTTCCAGCAATCCCCTCCTAATCCAGAGCCCACTTCTTAAGCATTTTTTAATCAACACCTTAAAGCCTATATAAGGAAACTGATTTCAGCTGGACTCCTGTCTCCTGTTGGCCAACCTACAACAAGATGCCATTTTTCTCAAAACCCAAGTGCCATACTACTGGCATCGAGCAGTAGGTCATTTTGTTCAATAACAAACTGAGTCACTAACCACCTAGTGCTGGGAGACTTTGTGAAGGCTTTCCCCAACTTAGGTGAGATAAGGCACATGGATATAATTCTATATATAATAAGAAGTCACTAGAAAGTTTAATAGTTGTATTAGTCCATTTTTATACCGCAATGATGGAATACCTGGGACTGGGTAATTTATAAAGAAAAGAGGTTTAATTGACTCACAGTTCCACAAGATTGGGTGGGGGAGGCTCAGAAACCTTCCAATTATGGTGGCCAACAAGTGAAGTGAGTGAGAGCAGGGGATACACCAGAAGCTTATGAAACCATCAGATCTCTTGAGAACTCACTCACTATCACAAGAACAGCATAAGAAAAACCCGTCCCCATAATCCAATCAACTCCCCTCAGGTTTCTCCCTTAACACCTGGAGGTTATAATACAAAATGAGGTTTGGGTGGGGACACACAGCTAAACCACATCAGTGCCAGAGGATGATATCTACATTTAATTTCAACCTCGTACTGCAGCAGAATGAAACTGAAGCCCAGTGGGGAAGTGACTTTCCCAAGATTACACTGCTGGACCCCAGGCCTACCTGAGTTGTGGCCCATGCTACCTCCCACCTATTCTCCTAATGCTTCCATCTCTAAGTGTGTGCATTATTTACATGTGAAACTACACCACGATTTTTACATTTTATCTTATATACATCTGATACATTCCCTAGGAAGTAGATAACATTATCCCCACTGTGCACGCTAGGAGGCTGGGGAAGCCTCAAATACACAGTGACTTTTATTAGGTCCCAGAGATGGTAAGAAAAACAAGGTTATTTTCCAGCTGTCTCTTATATCCTGGAACCCAGGATGCATTTAGGTCTTTCCAGGGAATTAAGGGGAAGTTGTGTTTGCATAATTGTGTACAAATAAAGAGTTGACATGGAAGAGGAGACTGAGCAATCAATAGCATAGTGGGGCCTTTGGGTAGGTCTTATAGAAATAAGGGGCCCAGTAGATGGAACCTTGAAGAGTTTAACACACTTTCCTGGTGACAGAACCCCACAGCAGTTAAGAAACCAGGAACCCACATTCTTGAGACAGCTCTGTATCCACCTCTGTTGGTGAGAGATGCTCAAGAGAGTGAGATGTCCTTTCATTGTGCCTTGATATTTCTGAGTTCTAGCCTTACAAAGCCTCAATGTAAAAGCCTTCTCTGATAACACAGATATCAACTCAGCCCTCATTCCTGATACCCCTGGCCATTGGCCAAGTGCACCTACAGATAACACAGAGCAGCCCAGGACATGTCCATCGAGGCCAGGCCTCTCTCATCATCTCATCTGGGCAGCCCCACACCACTTCTTTGTACCATGAGTTGCAGGATGGACAAAAGAGAGGGCACACTTCTTGGGCAGAAGCCGATTGTCAGGTGTTGGAACTCTTGTGTGTTTGTTATGTTCATATTCAGGTCAGAGCTGGCAGAATAAAAATAAGAGAGTTGGGGAGTGAGTCTGTATACTCAGATGTGAATAGCAAGACTCCAACCTGATCTCTGGTTTCCTTCCTTGCTGGAGATTTATTTATTTATTTATACTTTAAGTTCTGGGATACATGTGCAGAATGTGCAGACTTGTTACATAGTTTTATATTTGCCATGGTGGTTTGCTGCATCTATCAAACTGTCAGCTAGGTTTTAAGCCCCACATATATTAGATATTTGTCCTAGTGCTCTCCTTCACTTTGCCCCCTGACAAGCCCTGATGTGTGATGTTCCCCTCCCTGTGTCCATGTGTTTTCATTGTTCAAATTTCACTTATGAGTGAGAACATGTGGTGTTTGGTTTTCTGTTCCTGTTAGTTTGCTGAGAATGATGGCTTCCAGCTTCCTCCATATCCCTGCAATCTGAGGTCTCTGTTCTGTTCCCTCTGTCTATATATCTGTTTTGGTACCAATATGACTTCCTCTCTTCCTATTTGCATACCCTTTATTTCTTTCACTTGCCTGATTACCCTGGCCAGAACTTCCAATACTATCTTGAATAGGAGTGCTGAGGGAGGACATCCTTGTCTTGTGCTGGTTTTCAAAGGGAATGCTTCCGGCACTTGCCTATTAAGTATGATATTGGCTAGGGGTTTGTCATAAACAGCTCTGATTATTTCGAGACTTTTTCCGTCAATACGTAGTTTATTTAGAGCTTTTAACATGAAGGGATATTAAATTTAATCTAAGGCCTTTTGTGCATCTATTGAGAAAATCCTGTGGTTTCTGTCATTGGTTCTGTTTATGTGATGGATTACATTTATTAATTTGCATACGTTGAACCAGCCTTGAATCCCAGGGATGAAGCTGACGTGATCATGGTGGATAACATTTTCGATGTGCTGCTGGTTTCAGTTTGCCAGTATTTTATTGAGGATTTTTACATCGATGTTCATGAGGGATATTGGCCTGAAATTTTTGTTGCGGTTGTGTCTTTGCGAGGTTTTGGTATCATTATGATGGTGACCTCATAAAATGAATTAGGGAGGAGTCCCTCCTTTTCAATTGTTTAGAATAGTTTAAGAAGAAATGTTACCAGCTGCTCTTTATGCTTCTGGTAAAATTCGGCTGTGAATCCATCTGGTTCTGAGCGTTTTTTTATTGGTAGGCTATTAATTACTGCCTCAATTTCAGAACTTTTTATTGGTCTATTCAGGGATTCAACTTCTTCCTGGCTTAGTCTTGGGAAAGTGTATGTGTCCAGAAATTTATCCATTTCTTCTATATTTTCTAGTTGATTTGTGTGGAGATGTCTATAGTATTCTCTCATGGTAGTTTTTATTTCTGTGGAATCAGTGGTGATATCCTGTTTATCATTTTTTAATGTGTCTATTTGTTTCTTCTTTCTTTTCTTCTTTATTAATCTAGCTAGTGGTCCGTCTCTTTTGTTAATCTTTTCAAAAAACCAGCTAGTGGAGTCATTGATTTTGAACAGTTTTTCTTGTCTCTATCTCCTTCAGTTCTGCTCTGATCTTAGTTGTTTCTTTCCTTCAGCTAGTTTTTGAATTTGTTTCCTCTTGATTCTCTAGTTGTTTTAATTGTGATGTTAGGGTGTCGATTTCAGATCATTCCAGCTTTCTGTTGTGGGCATTTAGTGCTAGCATATCCCCTCTTAAAACTGCTTTAGCTGTGTCCAAGAGATTCTGGTACATTGTCTCTTTGTTCTCATTTGTTTCAAAAAAAACTTAATTTCTCTCTTAATTTTGTCATTTACTCAGTAGTCGTTCAGGAGCAGGTTGTTCAATTTCCATGTATTTATGTGGTTTTGAGTGAGTTTCTTAATCCTGAGTTCTGATTTGATTGCACTGTGGTCTGAGAGACAGTTTGTTATGGTTGCCATTTTTTCCATTTGTTGAGGAGTGTTTTGCTTCCAATTATGTGGTCAATTTTAGAATATGTGCTATGTGGCATGGAGAAGAATGTATATTCTGTTCTTCTGGCATGGAGAGTTCTGTAGTTGTCTATTAGGTCCGCTTAGTCCAGAGCTGATTTCAAATCCTGAATATCCTTGTTAATTTTCTGTCTCATTGATCTGTCTAATATTGGCAGTGGGGTGTTAAAACTTCCCAGTGTTATTGTGTGGGAGTCTACGTCTCTTTATAGGTCTGTAAGAACTTGTTTTATGAATCTCAGTGCTCCTCTGTTGGGTAGGTATATATATAGGATAGTTAGCTCTTCTTGTTGCATTGATCCCTTTACCTTTATGTAGTGCCCTTCTTTGTCTTTTTTCATCTTGGTTTAAAGTCTGTTTTACAAGAAACTAGGATTGAAACCTTGCTTTTTTTGTTGTTGTTGTTGCTTTTTTTGCTTTCCATTTGCCATTTCTCCTTCCCTTTATTTTAAGCCTATGTGTGTCTTTGCATGTGAGATGTGTCTCCTGAATATAGCACACCAAAGATTCTTGACTGTTTAACCAATTTGCCAGGCTCTGTCTCTTAATTGAGGTATTTAGCCCACTTATATTTATGGTTAATATTGTTATGTGTGAATTTGATCCTGTTATCATGATGCTAGCTGGTTATTTTGCACATTCGTTGATGCAGTTTTTTCATAGTATCGATTGGTCTTTATATTTTGGTGTGGTTTTGCAGTGGTGAACCATATTTTCCTTTCCATATTTAGTGTTTCCTTCAGGAGATTTTGTAAGGCATGCCTGGTGGTGACATAATCCCTCAGCATTTGCTTGTCTGTGAAGGACTTTATTTCCCCTTTGCTTTTGAAGATTAGTTTGGCTGGATATGAAATTCTGAGTTGAAAATTATTTTATTTAAGAATGTTGAATATTGGCCCCCACTCTCTTCTGGCTTCTAGAGTTTCTGCAAAGAGATCTGCTGTTAGTCTGATGGGCCTCCATTTGTAGGTAACCTGACTTCTCTCTCTGTCTGCCCTTAACATTATTTCCTTCATTTCAACCTTGGAGAGTCTGGCGATTATGTGTCTTGGAGTTGCTCTTCTCGAGGAGTATCTTAGTGATGTTCTCTGTATTTCCTGAATTTGAATGTTGGCCTGTCTTGCTAGGTTGAGGAAGTTCTCCTGGATAATATCCTAAAGTTTGTTTTCTAGCTTGGATCCATTCTTCCCGTCACTTTGAGGTATACCAATCAATCGTAGGTTTGGTCTTTTCACATAGTCCCATATAACTTAAAGGCATTGTTTAGCTCCATCAGGCCATTTATGTTTCTCTCTAAGCTGGTTATTCTAGTTAGCAGTTCCCATAACCTTTTATCAAGATACTTAGCTTCTTTGCATTGTGTTAGAACATACTTCTTTAGCTCAGAGGAGTTTATTATTACCCACCTTCTGAAGACTACTTCTGTCAATTCTTCAATCTCATTCTCCATCCAGTTTTGTGTCATTACTGGAGAGGTGTTGTGATCATTTGGAGGAGAAAAGGCATTCTTGTTTCTGGAATTTTTGGCATTTTTGTGCTGTTTTTTCCTCATCTTCATGGATTTATCTACTTTCAATCTTTGGGGCTGATGACATTTGGATGGGGTTTTTTTTGGGTGGGTCCTTTCTGTTGATGTTGATGTTGTTGCTTTCTGCTTGTTAGTTTTTCTTCTAACAGCAAGGTTCTTCTGCAGGTCCAGTGCAGTTTGCTGGAGTTCCAATCCAGACCCTGTTCACCTGGGTGTCACCAGTAAAGGCTGCAGAACAGCAAAGATTGCTGCCTTCTCCTTCTTCTGGAAACTTCATCCCAGGAGGATACCCGCCCAATGCCAACTGGAGCCCTTTTGTATGAGGTGTCTGTCAACCCCTGTTAGGAGGTTTCTCCCAGTCAGGAGTCACGGGGAACCCACTTGAGGAGACAGTCTGTCTCTTAGCAGAGCTGGTGCACTGTGCTGGCAGAATCCCTCTAGTCAAAATCAGCTGCTCTCTTCAGAGCCAGCAGGCAGGAATGATGAAATCCACTGAAGCTGCACCCACAGCCTCCCCTTCCCCCATGTGCTCTGTCCCAGGGAGATAGAGGTTTTCTGTGTAAGCCTCTGACTAGGGCTGTTACCTTTCCTTCAAATATGACCTGCCCAATGAGGAGGACTCTAAAGAAGCAGTCTGCCACAGCCACTTTGCTGCACCCAACCCGGACCTTCCAGCCTCCTTGGCACCGTCAGGGGAAAACTGTCTACTAAAGCCTCAGTAATGGTGGACTCCACTCCCTCCAACTGACCTCAATTGGCCCAGGTCAACTTCAGACTGCTGTGCTGGCAGCGAGAATTTCAGGATGAGGAACGCATTAGCTGTTTGTGATTTTCATGTCTGTTGCAGGGATTTGACCCATTGTTAGTGCTAGATTTGGAGTCTTAAAAAACAGATTTATCTTACTGAACTCAAAGTACAACTTGAAGATGTACTCAGCTGTTTACTTAAATTAAAGCGGGAGAAAATGTATCTTTGCAGATCTATTTTTATGTCACTTGCTTTTAGACACGAGATTGTCTCTGGCACAGTAATTCAACTTAGTCTATGTCAAAAACATAGCCTGAAAATGCTCAAAAAAAATTATGAATAGCGGATTGTATTCTATGTGTTCTCAAATTTCTTCTATGATGTAAAATATATAACATAATGTTTTACCTTGGATTTCTAACCTCAGCCCTCAGCCATTTTCCCAATTTTTTTTTTTTTGTTTTGAGACGGAGTCTTGCTCTGTCTCTCAGGCTGGAGTGCAGTGGAGCTATCTCGGCTCACTGCAAGCTCCACCTCCCGTGTTCATGCCATTCTCCTGCCTCAGCCTCCCAAGTAGCTGGGACTACAGGCACCTGCCACCACGCCCGACTACTTTTTTGTATTTTTAGTAGAGACAGGGTTTCACCGTATTATCCAGGATGGTCTGGATCTCCTGACCTCATGATTCACCCATCTCAGCCTCCCAAAGTGCTGGGATTACAGGCATGAGCCACCTTGCCATGCCCCACTTTCCCAAACTATTAAAAGACCTTCCAAGGTGGGTCAAAAGCATTTTTCAGAGAAGATTATTCCTAACAGTAAAGGATAATAACAGATGGATAAAAATCTCAAATAAATTATGCCTCTATTTGCAGAAGCGTCACTCTCCAGAGTCTCCAAGATCCAGAGAATTTCCATGAGGTAGAGTAGTTTATGGACATTTAGCAAAGTTGGTCCTGACTGCTGTCTCAGCCTCTTAATAGATGTGCAGCTATAGACAATTTACTGGACTTAGAACAGTTATATAAACCTGGGCTGCAAGAAAACGGATAACACTGATTGCAAGAATGGCAACCACTTCTCATTCCTCTCTGATCTGGGCCCTCTGCAATGTACACTTGAGGCTGCTTCCATGGAGGGAAAGATTTTCTTTTCCCAAATCTTGGATCTGGCTGGCCTTATTTGCTCTGCCTCATTCATACTTTTTGTTCTAATAAAATAATTAAGATGTTTAGCGTCTCATCCCAGCCTTTATCTTGTTAAAACTATATCTTATGATATGTCATCTCTCTTTACTATATTTGGTTATATTCATTCTATTCAATACTCAGGTAATTTTTTATCTCTGTTTAATTTAGTGTTTCACCTATACCTTGTCCTAATTTTTTTATTCTTTACATTCTACCGAGCTGTGATTCAAATATGATATTTGAATATGGAAAATGGTGGCCTAGTTTTTCTTCAGAAATTTCTTTTTATTTACTTGTGTTCTTTAGTTTTTAACTTGGTTCCAATATTTGGGAAATATCACATTTGAGATGTCTGTAGTCATGTTATTTCTGTGCTTATTCCATTTTCCCTTGGAGGAAGGTGGACAGCATACAGACTTGACATCCTTGTGATCTATCAGTATCTGAAGGGACCACTTTTTTTCAGTTTGATTACTTCTCTGGCTTATTCTCTTGATTTACTTTAGCTTTCATCAAGTGCTTCTATATTTTTAAACTGTATTCATTATTTTCATAGTTCTTGTAGCTTCTTGAGAACTTTTACTTGTCTACACTAAAATATTTAAAAATATGTAGCCTTTTCTTCTGAAAGCACAAATATGCAGTGTACACATGAGTAGAATATTTCATAGGCATTGGGCAGCATACAACCACATCTTATGAGATATTCCGTTTCTTCATTCAAAACATCTCTCTCAAATATGTAGTAATAGTCACTTGTAAGGGGTAGTTCTTTTGATACTTAAAATTTTCTTTTATGTGCCTTTATGAAAATATATACTTAACTACAGAGAACAGAACTCTGTGCTTCCTTTTAGTATGTCCTTGACCTCACAAAAATAATTCATGAAATCTTATATTTATTTTATAAATTAATTTAATGAAACAAAATTTGTGCATGGCTAAATATTACTTGTTGAGTACAATTTAGAATTTCTACTGTCATTTTAGTGTCCTAAAAGATATGAGCTGTTGAATTTCTGCTCTCATAAAATGAATGATATTGTTAGGCCTAAACCCTTGCCATTTATTTTCCCCCTCTGTCATACAGTGTGTATCTTTGGTTCACTGCTGAAAAATTTTATTAATTTTTCTCTCTTGCTAGTAGTCATACTTTCTAATAAAGTTATCATTACTTGTGTTTATTTAGTTACTGTATGTTAAACATTTGATTTCTGATGGTCTTAATGTCATTTAATATAATTGTAAATATTTCAATTTGTCATTATTAACAAATTTCTGTATTATATGTTTTAGACTCAGCTATTAAGTATATGTGGGTAAATGACTTAGAATAATTTCTAAAACATTGTAGGGGCTACTAAGTACTAATAACCCTGATTCATTAAATTTTTATTCCTTATAATATTCTTTATTGACTAAATTATTTTGTAATCTTATTTAAATTTATTCTTTTCTTTTCTAAATATTTGTGAAAAAGGGGTTAGGCTAATGTGTCATTTTGATAAAACTTCATGTCAAATGATATGTTTCACTGGTTTCTTTTAGATGTAATAGCTTTTTTGACTCAGGCAATACATGCAAGTATGAAGTATAAAAATTATAGTCTCAATCCTTAAGCTGAGTAAAAACTTGGCTATTTATTGATTTTAACAAAGCTACATTATCCCACATAATACGTAAAACTTTCACAAAGCTACATTATCCCACATAACAGGCATACCAGCTGCCTATATCTGGAAACATGGATTGTTACAAATTAGAAGTAAATAACTTGATAGGCCCAATTTAACAAATGAAGCTCAAGAAGTGGGAGATATGAGACCTATAATGAAAGATTAAATTATTTTAAAAATCTTACCACAAAGAAAAATCAGAGTCAAATACTTTAACTGTTAAATTATACAAAATATTTCATAAAAATACCAATCCTTTACAAATACACACCATACATAGATAAGAGATAAACAACCCCTAACTACTTTATGAGGCCAATATTACTATACCAAAGCCAGACAAACCCATCATGTGTTAGGATTAATATGGGTACATACGGCTGATAAATAAAGACACATAATTCTCAAAAAGTACTAATAAGTTAAATACAGAAACACGTAAAAGTAATTATACACCATGGCCAAGTACAATCTTTTTACAAATGAAGTGGCTTAATATCTAAAAACCAATAATTTAATACACAACATTGATAAAGTGAAGAACATAAAATGATCCTTTTAATAGACACAGAAAAGCTTGTGATACAAACAACACTGATTCATTATAAAATCCTTAACATACTAGGAAGGAAAAACTTACTGGAACTACTAAAAAGGATTCATAAAAATTTCCCACTAATATTACACTTGCTGATGAAAGACTAGGCTCTTTGCCTCACAGTTGTGGGAAACAGATAAGCATGGCTACTTTCGCTACTCTACTAAATTGAACTAAAGGTGTTAGGCAGAGAAATTATATAATAAAAACAAATAAAACTTCTAAATTTATAAAATAAACTTTTATTGTAAATGGCATCAACTTATATTCAAGAATTTTTAAAGAGTTTACAAAAATCAACTGGAACTAATAAATGAGTTCAGCAGGTCACAAGATACAAGATAAATGCACAATATTAAATTGCACTTTTATACAGTAACTAAGGGCAATCAGTAAATAAAATTAGAAAAAATAATTCTACTCATTAGCTCAATGTGTAGTGGCTTAAAATTCCAAATATGCATTATGTCTTATTTTCTGTTGGCTACAAATACTGACACAGCTTAGTTGAATGGGTCTACCACAATGTCCTCATGTGTCCGGAATTGGTCGGTTCTTGGTCTCACTGACTTCAAGAATGAAGCCGCGGACCCTCACGGTGAGTGTTACAGTTCTTAAAGGCAGCGTGCCTGGAGTTTTTCCCTTCTAATGTCAGCATGTGTTTGGAGTTTCTTTCTTCTGGTGGGTTCGTGGTCTTTCTGGCTCAGGAGTGAAGCTGCAGACCTTTGTGGTGAGTGTTACAGCTCATAAAGGCAGTGTGGACGCAAAGAGTGAGCAGCAGCAGGATTTATTGCAAAGAGCGAAAGAACAAAGCTTCCACAGTGTGGATGGGGACCCGAGAGGGTTGCCACTGCTGGCTCGGGCAGCTGCTTTTATTCTCTTATCTGGCCCCACCCACATCCTGCTGATTGGTCCATTTTACAGGGAGCCAATTGGTCTGTTTTACAGAGAGCTGATTGGTCCCTTTTCACAGGGTGCTGATTGATGCATTTACAATCCTTGAGCTAGACACAAAGTTCACCACGTCTCTACTAGATTAGCTAGATACAGAGTGTTGATTGGTGTATTTACAAACCCTGAGCTAGACACGGGGTGCTCATTTGTGTGTTTATAAACCTTGAGCTAGATACAAAGTGTCGATTGGTGTATTTACAATCCCTTATCTAGACATAAAGTTTCTCCAAGTCCCCACCAGACTCAGGAGCCCAGCTGGCTTCACCCAGTGGATCCCGCACCAGGGCCGCAGGTGGAGCTGCCTGCCTGCCAGTCACACGCTGTGCTCCCGAACTCCTCAGCCCTTGGGTTGTCGATGGGACTGGGTGCCATGGAACAGGGGGTGGAGCTCGTTGGGGAGGCTCGGGCCGCACAGGAGCCCTTGGCAGGAGTGGGGGAGAGGCTCAGGCAAGGTGGGCTGCAGTTCCCGAGCCCTGCCCCGTGGGGAGGCAGCTAAGGCCTGGCGAGAAGTCGAGCACAGCAGCTGCTGGCCCAGGTGCTAAGCCCCTCACTGCCTGGGGCTGGCGGGGCCAGCTGGCCGCTCCAAGTGCGGGGCCGCCAAGCCCACGCCCACCCGGAACTCGCGCTGGCCCGGAAGCACCGCGGGCAGCCGCGGTTCCTGCCCGCTCCCCGCAAGATAAGGGAGCCGGCTCCGGCATTGGCCTGCTGAGAAAGGGGCTCCCACAGTGCAGCGGTGAGCTGAAGGGCTCCTCAAGCGCGGCCAGAGTGGGCACCAAGGCTGAGGAGGCACCAAGAGTGAGCGAGGGCTGTGAGGGCTGCCAGCATGCTGTCACCTCTCACTCATGAGACTGAAGCTGTGTCTCAACTGAAGCTTGACTGGGAAGGATGCACTTCTGAGCTCAATCTGGTTAGTTGTGCATTATTGTTTTGACTCAGTTCTTAGTTTCTTTCTGTCTTTGGTCAGGGCACTCTCTCTATTCTCTGTCACACAAGCCTGTAAAAATGAAAGCTTAAAACACTGAAGCTCGCTTCTCCAGAGCAAAGTATGCGACAGACAGAGAGAAAGACAGGAAAAAAGGAAGTAAACAATATCACAAGAGAGAGAAAGTAAGAAGCAAGTGACAATCTTTTCATAATCAAATATTGGCAGTGACATTCCCTATTTTCCAATGTATTCTACTGCCATGAAGTGAGTCACTAACCACTTACTGTTTACATTTGGGTGTGTATAGTTGGAAATAAAAATTATTATGAGCCATCATGAAGGCTGTGCACTACGTATGCCAAGGTGAGACAAATGGGCCTGATTCTAAATATAACGAGAAGGTACTACAATGTGTGTTGTTGTTATTGTTGTTGTTCTGGCCAAAGAATAACAACATCTAAATTTTATTCAATTTCAATGTTTTCATGGTGGAGTTTGAAAAATAAATTCAAGAGGGGACATGACTTTCTCAAGATTCAAGTTATAAAACCCAGGCATGTTTGAGAGATATTCAAGCAATGTCCCATCCCTTGTAGTTTCTTTCTCTAAGTTTATGCAGTAGCTGTGTTTAATATCAAACCCAACAGTCATGCGTATCATTTTATACATATCTCATGAGATCCCTTGCAGCTGGATGCCACCATAATCCCCACTGTGCAGGCTGTGAGACTATGGAGCCCCTGAGAGGCACAATGACATACTTGGCATCACATAATTAATACATTAAACATAAAGACTTTAACTCAGCTTGTATCCTCAAACTTGTGGCTCTGGCTGCATTCCATTTCCTCCGGCACTGGTGCAGGAGGTGCTGTATTTGCATAATTGTGCACAAGTAATCAGATGACTTGGGAGAGAATGGTGAGCAGTCAGCAGTGCAGAAAAGCCTTTGAGTAGGTCTTATTGAAGGAAGATAGGTCTTATTGAAAGAAGAATAATACCTTCAAGAAGTGACCTCATTTCTTTGGTGAAAGGTCCTAACAGTACTAAGTATTCTGGTAACCAAAAACTCACATTCTAAAGACAGTCCACCATGCAGCACTGTTGGCCAGAATCTCTCAAGAGAGAAAGATGTTCTGCTGTATAACAACTTTCTGAGGCTCTTTCTTGTGAGGTTCTGTTCCTCACAAGTAGCACCTTCTAGCTATGTCTTCACACGACAGAAGGGGCATGAATATTCCTTTCAACCTCCGTCACACGGGCACTATTATTTTCTCGTTAACATGCAGCCCTCCTGACTTAATAACTTTCTCAAAGTTCCAATAACTAATAGTATCACACTGAATCCACGTGTGGATTAAGTTTTTAAATATGAATGTGGAGAGTGAGGAACACAAATATCCAGACCATAGCAAAAAGTTAATAAGCAATAACAATTGCAGTGGACAGTATTATTAATGCTTGGGATATGGGAATTTGATGTTTCTATCACAAAGGTTAAACAATGGTTTATCCTTGGCCGGGCATGATGGCTCAAGCCTGTAATCCAAGCACTTTGGGATGTCAAGGCAGGCGGATCACAAGGTCAGGAGATCGAGACCATCCTGGCTAATACGGTGAAACCCCGTCTCTACTAAAAGTCCAAAAACATTGCTGGGTGTGGTGGCGGGCGCCTGTAGTCCCCGCTACTAGGGAAGCTGAGGCAGGAAAAAGGTGTGAACCCAGGAGGTGGAGCTTTCAGTGAGCTGAGATCACACCAGTGCACTACAGCCTCGGAGACACAGCAAGACTCCATCAAAAAAATAAAATTAAATTAAAACATATAACAAAATTAAGGTCCAATTAAAGGTAAATATATATAGCAAAAAAAAAATTCAAGCTCTGATAAGGTTAATTGTAACAGATTGTGCCAGAATTTTGAGATTTCTGGAGATGGACAGAGCCCAAGAGTTTCCTTCTATAACAATTTCTGTGAAGTTTCTTACACTCTTATTCAATTTGAACGTGGATAAATGGGTTTTCTCTGTTTTGTTATTTAAGAGATTCATGATAAGGAAGGCCTATTTATGCATGATTCTTAAACAATTATTGAGTCAGTGGTGTCTGCTGAGGAAGGGCACAGAATCTCATGCCCACAGAAGCATGATGTTCTGTCAGATAGGAGACTTCTCCCAGAGCCAGAACTTCATCTTTCAAATGGAATTAGAGATTTTCACAGGCATACATTGCTCTGAAGCCCTATCAGAGGCTTAGCACTGAGAATATGACCAAAGAAGGTGACTAATAAACATATGACCTAGTACTCTGATCTACAGTGATTCTACCCTCTCAAATAGCTCTTCCCTGGCTCTGGAATCTTTTCTGGATTCATCTACCAGAAACAGATACACTGAAAGATTGAGAAGAAGCTTTTATTCTCACTGTGAGTCTTGCCCTGTCTCACCATCTTCTCTAGAAGTGCAATGTTCTAACTATTCCTGAGAGACTTCATCTCAGGTAGCTCTCTCTGACAACATAATTGAGAAGAGAAACGAGCAAGACTCAGATTATTTTGAAGGCTTGTCTAGGGTTCTTACATGATTTATGTCTCCAATTTATGTCAATATTGACAAATATAGATTCATCTCTAGATGGTAGAAAAACAGAAGGAGGAGCCTCTGCTCACAGAGAAAATAAAAGATGAATTCAATGTTTTGTAGAGCCAGCTTATTTTAAACCATGGGGCATTTAATCTTTTTAGAAAAAAACAAAAGCAATAGGGTTTTTTGTTTTTGTTTTTGCTTTTGCTTTTGTGTTTTCGTTTTGGTTTTTTTTTGTTTGTTTGTTTTTTCCCTGAAGCAACTCAACTGTGGCCTCAGACAACTGGGCACTGAGAACGCATGCTCCTCACTAGAATTTCATTACTACATTGCAGAGAAATGGGATAATTACAAAGGATTTTTTTTTTTTTGAGATGGAGTCTTCCTCTGTCATCCAAGATGGAGTGCAGTGGCATCATCTCAGCTCACAGCAACCTTGGTCTCTCAGGTTGAAGCAATTCTCCTGCCTCAGCCTCCCAAATAGCTGGGACTACAGGCATGTGCCACCTTGCCTGGGTAATTTTTATATTTTTAGTACAGACTGGGTTCCACCATGTTGGCCAGATGGTCTCGATTTCCTGACCTCGTTATCCACCCTCCTTGGTCACCTAAAGTGCTGGGTGTGAGCTGCTGTGCCCAGCCCAAAGGATTCTTAAGGGTGATATGGGGGATGGAATGGAAAAAATAAACTTAGTCTTTGCACTTCCACCTGGTCTAACTAACCCTACTCTCATCCTATCCCAAAATTATTGCCAGACTTTTCTGGAGTGTGCCAGGGGCAATTCAGAAGGAAAAGAGGTTATTCATGCCTATCCATTTCCCATAGCTCCTGAGATCTAAGTCGTTCACTCCCCTGGTTTCAGGTTGTTGCTCCCCTTCTATATCCTCAGAATTAATGTGATCCATTCCAATACTTATAATTGTACCTTTATCTGATCCCCTCCTATTTTGCTGTAGACATTTTATGTAGTAGATCCAGTTGTAATAGAGACAAGAATGTTTATATACACCATAATCAGAACTAAATTGGAGTTCCATAACCCCTTTTTTGACTGGGCTGCTACTCAGAAATCATACAAACCAGGCTGCCTGGAGGTTGCAGTTAGGAGAAATCACATCTTGCCCAGGAATGTCAGTGTGGAAACTCAGATTTGGAAAATAGATTCCTATAGCCCCAATCATTTTGCAACACTTCTGCAGAGTTAAAAGAAAGCCAGTATCTAACAGAAAATCTTGAGCTTGCAGAATAACAGAAAAGAAAAAAAAAACAAAAACACAACTTGCCAAAACACTGAAACTCCCTCTACTTATGAAATAAACAAACTGGCTTAAATTGGTGGAATCATTATGGCCAAATGGTGTTTTGGCAGAATCACCTTGCTGAGGTCACCGTCTGAATTTTCACTGCCTGTTTCATCACAACTCCCCTTCAGTTTGCCCATGACATCCATGAGGAGGCAATGAGCTTGAGAGTAACGTTTCAGTATAAAATTGCTTTCTCTTAAAAACCTGATGTCATAGTATTGGCTTCTAGCACTTCAAGAAGTGAGCTCCTTTTACTCAATAACAATGTTATCTATATCTTAGAGACAGTCAACAGGAGATAATCTCTTCTGGGACCAAAGAAGGTGACTAATAAACCATTTAATCAACACATTACCTAACCAAAAGCTGTGGACCCTGATGAGGAAAATAAGTTAAAATGAGACTATTGGCTCATTTTAATAGATATGGTGATAAAAGCAAAAAAAAAAAAAAAAAAAGAGAGAATTTAAGCGGTCTCAAATACCTAAAAGATGACATGGATTAGCTTCAAGTAACACATAATGTGGCTGGAGTCAGCTGATCTTTATGCTGAAAGTGTCAACAGTAGTGACAAATACTTCAAGTAACGGGTCAAAAGTCTAAGACAGTCATTCTGCCAGAAATGGTCTGGGACTTCCCCATACATGGGACACGTAGATCAACTTTCTCCAAGAACCACCAACCTGGCATGCAGTGATGACCTCTGCAGTAGACAGGGATTTAGGCTTGATTGTTGTTCATCTCTTTGGAGACATAACCCTAATTGTGAACTTCTAAATTAATGGCCTGACAATTAGATCAGCAGCTAAGATAAATTTCAGTTTGCAGCCCCAAAGAAGATGTTCTTAATTAGACAGTTAATCATTTTCAATATGGAAGCCTAAACACGTAGAATGTGGCAATAACCCGGAACTCTCAGTTCTGACAATTGAGTGAAGTAATCACCCCAGATTCAGGTTCCTCATTGGCTGACAATGAGATCAAACACCCACACCAGCCCAGTGAACACCATGAGGTGTCATCTTCCCTGGCCCATTAGTGAACCAGGAACAGATATTTAGAAAATATTCAGTAAATTGGGGAGTCCCACAGAGTCAGAAAGTTTGCTTGAGATAGTAGAGGGTGGCATAAAATTTCTACCGAATATGAATTTTAATTTTTACTTTAGTGCCGTTTCTATTTTAGTCTAATTTCCTTCTAGAATATGTTATTTCTATTTACCAAGTGGCCTCCTGTGGTCTTTTTCATAGAGTTCAAATCGACCCATCTAAAAACAGAAAGATCAAGCTAACGACCTCCCTCAGGGGTCAGAATTCAGTTTCACAGCTCTGTAGCAAGCTCATTGTTGACTTACAAATTAGTGTAACCAATAGTAACGTCATGGTGACCATAACTCCAACATCCCAAAAAGTACCTCAAGTTAGAGGCTGACTTCATTTATCAGAGGATTCAAATGGCAAAATCAAGCTTTACTAGATCACTGGATTACTGGAAGAAGTGAGCAATGCGAATCTGCAATATAGTTTCACTAAACTTTAATAGGACAGCAAGACTGTAGATATTTTAGCCCTCTCAAAATATGAATCTTCTGATCCTTTCATCTAGAATCTCTATGTGTGCCATAAAGTCCTAACTCTGCTTGTGCCTATACTTTCTGTTCATGCAGAGATTAAAAGACAAACAGGTGGGAGCTTAGTGTTTTAGCGTTTTTCCTGAGAATCTGTCTAGCCTAGAGCATCCCCATTTTTTTCTAGATTCCAAGGAGTACTATCACTATCCTAATTCTCAGTGTCTTGTTTCCAAGTATTTCCTCCTACGATTGTCAGCGTGACTACCTTTTTACCCCACTGATAGTGTTTGCTCCAGGTGAACTGGGTAGTTCATTTTTATTTAAATGCTTCCATAAGCGTTAAGCTATTAATTTAAGATTTCTTTGTTTTTTATAAAGTAATTCTGCTGTTTCCCTCAGAGCTCAACTTTCACTAAGTCTCATAAATTTTATTATGTTTTGTCTAAATGTCTATTTATGTTAAAATATTCTCTGACACTATTTGTACATTTTTTATTCATTAATTATTTAAGATTGTGTCATTTAATGCACACATGTTTGCATTTCCCAAATTTCTTGCTTTTTTGGTCTCTAATTTTCTCTTTTGTGATTAGAAAACATTCATTTTATTATTTCAATCTTTCAATTTTATTGATTTTTTTTATGATGCAGCATATTCTCCATTCTAGAGAATGTTCTATGTGCATTTGGGAAGAATATACATTCTGATTTGGGGTGAAGAGTTCTCCATATATCTCTAGTTTTATTTGGTTTATGTTATTCATGTCTTCTATTTCCTTGTTTCTCTTATGTCTAGTTCTTCTACCCAATAGTGTAAGTGGGGAAGTGAAGCTTGCAATTTTTATTGTTGAAACTATTGTTGCAACTATTTCTGCCTTTATTTCTATCAGTTTTGCTTTATGTACTTCTGTGAACTTTTGTTACATTCATATATGTTAATTTATTTTCCTCATGAATTTATCCTTCTAATTATAATCTATCTTCATCTCTAGTAATAGTATTTGTTGTCTTAAAGTATATCCTAATTTTTTTATTTTTGGTTTTTCTGGGTGCATAGTAGGTGTATACCTTTATGAAGTATATAGAATATTTTGATACCGTCATACAATGTGTAATAATTACATCAGAGTCAATGGGGTATTCATCACATGAAGTATTACTATTGGATTTCAAATAACCAAATTATACAATTTCTGTTATTTTAAAATGTACACTTAAATTATTCTTAACTAGAGTCACCTTGTGCTGTCAAATGCTAGAACTGATTCATTCTTTCTAACTATATTTTTATACCCATTAACCATTCCCACCTCCCCGCCCTCAACCTTCTACTACTTCTCTCAGCCTCTGGAGACCATCATTCTACTCTTTATCTCCATTAATTCTTTGGTTTTAATTTTTAGCTTTAACAAATAAGTGAGAACGTGTGAAGTTTGTCTTTCTATACCTGGCTTATTTCACTTAATAAAATGACCTTCAGTTTAACCCATGTTTTTACAAATGACAGAATCTCATTCATTTTTATGTCTGAATAGTACTACATTGTGTATATGTACCACTTTTTTGTTTATTCATCTGTCGATAAACACCTATGTTACTTCCAAATCTTGGCTATTGTGAATAGTGTTGCAGTAAACACAGGAGTACAGCTATCACTTCAATACACAGATTTTTCTCTCTTTTGGATATATACCTAACAGTGAAATTGCTGGATTGTACAGAAGCTCTATTTTTAGTTTTCTGATGAACCTTCAAGCTGTTCTCCATAGTGGTTCCACCAACTTACATTCCCACCAACAGCATATGAGGGTTCCCTTTTCTCCGCATGCTTGTCAGCATTTGTTATTGCCTTTTAGCTAAAACCCACTTTAACTGGGGTGAGGTAATAGCTCATTGTAATTTTGATTTGCATTTCTCTGATGATTCATGATGTTGATCATCTTTTCATATACCTATTTGCCATTTGCGTGTCTTTATTGGAGTAATGTCTGTTTACATATTTTGCCTATTTTTTAAAATAGGATTATTAGATTTTATTTTCTATAGAGTTATTTGAGCGCCTTCTATGTTTTGGTTACAAATCCATTTTCAGATAGGTAGTTTGAAAATATTTTCTTTCATTCTGTGGGTTGTTTTCTGACTTTGTTGATTCTTTTCTGTGCCATGCAAAATTTTATAACTTGGTGTGATACCAATTTTCCATTTTGCTTTGGTTGCCTGTGCTTGTGAGGTGTTACTCAAGAAATCTTTGCTTAATCCAAGGTTTTTTAGAATTTCCCCAATGTTTTCTTTCAGAAGTTTCATAGTTTGCAGTTTTACATTTAAATATTTAATCCATTTTGATTTAGTTTTTGCACATGGCAAAAGATAGAGGTCTAGTTTTATTCCTCTGCATATGGATATCCAGATTTACCATCACTGTTTATTGAAGAGACTGAGTTTTTATTCTTAATATATTTTCTTGGTGCCTATGTAAAAAATGAGTTCACTGTAGATGGATGGTTTGGTTCTGGGTTCTCTATTCTGCTCCATTTTCCTGTGTGTCTGTTTTTATGCCAGTACTATGCTGTTTTGGTTACTACACATCGGTAGTATAATTTTGTGTAATGTAATAATGTATGCTATGTAATGGGATTCCTCCAGTTTTATTCTTTTTGCTCAGGATAGCTTTAGCTATTCTAGGTCTTTTGTGATTATATATAAATTTAAGATTTTTTAGAGCTGTTGTATTTATTTGTGTGAGGAATGTCAATGGTATTTTTACAGAAATTGCGTTGAATCTGTAGCTTGCTTTGTGTAGCATGGACATTTTAATATTGATTCTTCCAATCCATAAACACAGAACACTGACTAATACAATCTGCAAATGGGTAGTTTGACTTCCTCTCCTCTTATTTGAATGCCTTTATTTTTTTCTCTTGTCTGATTGCTCTGGCCAGGATTTTCAATACTATGTTGAACAGGGCTGGTAAGAGAGGGCATCTTTGTCTTGTGCCAGTTTCCAAGAAAAATGCTTCCAGTTTCACCCATTCAGTATAAAGTTGGCTGTGGGTTTGTCATAGATGACTTTTATTATTTCAAAGCATGTTTCCTCAATACCTAGTATATGGAGAGTTTTAACATAAAGTGGTTTTGAATTTTAATGAAAGCTCTTTCTGCATCTATTACAATAATCATGAGGTTTTTGTCTTTCGTTCTGTTTGTATTATGAATCACATTTATTGATTTGCATATGTTGAACCAACCTTGCATCCCAGGGAAAAAGCCTACTTGATTGTGGTGGATAGGCTTTTTGGTGTGCTGCTGGATTTGGTTTGCCAGTATTTTATGGAGAATTTTTGCATCAATATTCATCAAAGATATGAAATTTTTCTTTCTTTTGCTTTTCTTCCAGGTTTTGATATCAGAAGGGTGCTGGCCTCATAGGATGAGTGAGGAAGATGATCCTCCTCAAATTTTTGGGAGTTTCAGTAGGAATGATACCAAATTCTTCTTTGCATATCCAGTAGAATTTGGCTGGGAATTCGTCTTTTCCTGGGCTTTTTAAAATTGATAGTCTATTTATTACAGATTCAATTTTGGAGCATGTTATTGGTCTGTTCAGGGATTCAATTTCTTCCTGGTTCAGTCTTGGAAAGGTGTACATGTCCAGGAATTTATCTATTTGTTCTAGGTGTTGTAGTTTTTTTGCATAAAGGTGTTCATCATATTCTCCGATGTTTATTTCTATTTCTGAGGAGCCAGTGGTAATATCCCCTTTGTTGTTTCTGATTGTCTTTGTTTGGATCTTCTCTCTTTTCCTCTATATTAGTCTAGCTAGTAGTCCACATTTAAAACAAAACCTACTCCTGGATTCATTAATCTTTTAGTTTCTTTGTGTGTGTCCTAATCTCAGTTTATCTCTGATTTTGGTTATTTCTGTCTTCTTCCAGCTTTGGGGTTGGATAGCTCTTCATTCTCTAGATGTTTTAGTTGTGATATTGAGTGGTTAAATTGAGATCTTTGTTACTTTTTGTGGTGGGTGTTCAGCAACATCAGTTTTTTTCTCAACACTGATTTAGTTGCATCTCAGGGATTCTGGTAGGTTGTGTCTTTGTTCTCATTACTTTCAAATAACTTTTTGATTGATGCCTTAATTTCATTATTCACACAAAAGTCATTCAGGAGTGAGTTATTTAATTTTTATGTAATCATATGGTATTGAGTATTGGTTTTCTCAACTTTTACCTCCAATTTTACTGTACTCTGGTCTCGGAGAGTGGTTGTCATAATTTGAATTCTTTTATAATTTCTGAGAACAGTTTTATGTCGATTAAGTGGTTGATTTTAGAGTATGTGCCATGTGGCAATGAGAACGTATATGTTGTTGTTTTTGGTGGAGAGTTCTGAAAGTGTCTGTTACATCCATTTGATCCAGTGCTGCATTCAGATCTTGAATATCTTGTTAATTTTCTGCCTTAATAATCTAATATTGTCAATGGGTTGTTGAAGTTTTTCACTATAATTGTGTAGGAATCTAAGTCTTTTTAAAGACCTCTAAGAACTTGCTTTATGAATTTGGGTGTTCCTGTGTTGGGTGTGTATATATTTAAAATGTATATATTTAAATATGAATACATATATTCTTGTTGAATTTAACCCTTTAGCATTTTGTAATGCCTTTTTGCCTTTTTAAATCTTTGTTGTTTTAAAGTCTGTTTGTCTAAACTTAGGGTTGCAACCCATTCTTTCTGCTGTTTTCCATTTGCTTGGTAGATTTTTATCCCGTCATTTTCAGCCTATGAAACTGATTGCATGTGAAATGAGTCTTGATGACAGCATATCATTGGTTCTTTGTTCTTTATCCAGTTTCCCACTGTTTGCCTTTTAATTGGAACATTCAGCCCATTTACATTCATAGTTAGTGTTGATATGTGTGCATTTGATGCTGCCATTATAATGGTAGCTGCTTATTATGCAGACTTGTTTGTGCGCAACTGGTCTGTATACCTCAGTGTGTTTTTTTAGTGGCTAATAAAGGTTTTTTTCACCTATATTTAGTTCTTCCTTCAGGAGCTCTTGTAAGGCATGTCTTGTAGTAATGAATTTCCTCAGCATTTGCCTGTTTAAAAAGAACTTTATTTCTCCTTTACTTATGAAGCTTAGTTTGGCCAAATACGAGATTGTTGATTGGAATTTATTTTCTTCAAGGAGGTTAAATATTGGTATTGGTCTCTTCTGGCTTGTAGGATTTCTGCTAAAAGGCGTACTTTTACACTGATAATCTTTCCTTTGTGGTTGACCTCCCTTTCCTCTCTAGCTGCATTTGACATTTTTTCTTTTATTTCATGCTTGAACAATCTGATAACTATGTGTTTTGGTGATTATTATATTATGAAGTATCTTACTGGAGTTTTCTGCATTTCCTAAATTTGAATGCTGGCCTCTCTAGCCAGCATTCCCCAGGTTGGGGAAGTTCTCATGAATGATATCCTAAAATATGTTTTTCAAATGGCTTCCATTCTCCCCACCTGTTTCATGAACACCAGTGGGTCATACCTTTGGTCTCTTTACATAATCTTATATTTTTCAGAGGCTTGGGGGTTTTTATTACTCTTTTTTATTTCTGTCTGTATGTCTTACTTCACATAAACAGTCTTCAAACTCTGAGATTCTTCCTTAGCTTTGTCTATTCTACTATTAATAGTTGTGAATTTCTTATAAAAAAATTTAGTGTGATTTTTTTAGCTCTCTCAGGTTAGTTATGCTCTTAATACTGGCTCTTTTGTCTCTCAGCTCCTGTATCATTTCATTATGATTCTTAACGTTTTTGAATTGAGTTTCAAGTTACTTCTGCATTTTAATGATCTTTATTTCTATTCATATTCTGAATTTGATTTCTGTAATTTTAGCTATCTTGGACTGATTTATAACCTTACTGGAGAGGTACTGTGACCATTTGAAGGAAAAGAGGAACTCAGGTTTTTTGAGTTGTCAGAGGTTTTGTGCTTGTTCTTTCTTATCTTTCTGGGGTGATATTTCTTTAATATTTGAAGTTGTCAACTTTTGGATTTTTCCTTTTATTCTGCTTGATGACCTTAAGGGTTTAATTGTGTTATAAGGTTGGCTCAGTCAAGTGGTTTTGTGTGTATTCATGCAGGCGAAGGTGGCTGCTCAGGGCTGAGGAGAGTATGCTGTTTTTTGTGCTTAGTTGTACTCAAATGACAGTGTTGACAAAGGAGCAGGGTGCTGGTGTTGTGGGGCAGATGGCCTCTGTTTCCCCCAAGATTCTGTCTGCAGTGGTGGTATAGCAGGAGAGGGGGCCTGGAGTACACTCCTACCAACAGCAGTGCCAGGGCAGAATGCATATGCACATGTGCACTGACAGGACAGGGAAAGCAAGATCCTTCCATGCACACACACACACACACACACACACACCAGCATAGTGATGTGTGGGGTGGCAATGGGCCTTGGGGGGAAGCTGCAGTGAGGAGAGGCAGCAGGCAGGCTGATGCCTGGATGGGGTCACCCCACTGGAGCTGTCTACTAGTCAGACATGATCTGCCAGTTCAGGATCTATGATGCAGGCCCCCAGGGTACTCAAGGCTGCACTGCAAGCATGCAGGGCCGAATTGGGGTCGCAGGAGAGGCCAGCACACCAACGCAAGCTCAGGTCAAAACAGCCCCATCTGATGGGCCACCACCCTGCAGACTTTTTGTCCAAAATTTCCCCTAGGGCTAACGTCTCTTATGGGAGCAAGTTAAGCTTATTGGTGTGGGCATCCCTGGACATGCTTCACTACACATGTTCCCACAATAAACCCTCTTGGCTGTGCACTGGCTGGTGTGCTGCCCCTGTCACTTCTCTAAGCAGCTCTTCCTTTCAACTCATTTTCCATGATGGTCAGAGGGTCTCTGCCAGTGGGATTCCAGAGGCCAGTCAGGAAAGCAGGTAGCTCCTTGCCACTTAAACTCACCTGTTTTTCTCAGAGTCACTGGGGGCCAGAAATCAGTTCCACTGTGCTTTAGCCCTGTGCAGGGTTCCCAGCTTCTGAATCTTAAGTTCAGATGTTGTGTCTTTCCTCCATCACTATCAGTACCTGCCCTCGGTTAAGAGTGTGCCAGTCATCCTGGTCCCTTGGTGTCAGCTGTTCCACCTTGGTTTGTCTATTCAGCCATCTTGCTCAAATACACAAAGTCTTATAAATCAATAATAAATAGACAATTGACTACTTGAAAAATGTGCAAGGAATTTGAATTAAAAATTTCTACAGATAAGAAGCAAAATTTGTCATTAAATTTAAAATATGTGACATTATTAGTTTAGAGAAATGCAAATCAAAAGCTCAATGACATACTTACTAGAAGACCTGTAAAAGGCAATAAAAAAGGTTGCCAAAGATATCAAAAATATGAAAGCCTCACACATTGTATGTGGGAGTGTAAAAAACAACCGATTTAAAGAACAATTTGGCAATTATTCAAAATGCTATAAATAGTATCACCATATGACTGAGACATTTTACTCTGTTACGTACTCAAAAGAAATGAAAACCTATGACTACACAAAGAATCAGATGTAAATGATCAAAGGAGCAGTATTTGTAATAGCCCAAAGGGGATAAAACCAAAATATCCATCAAATAATAACAGAAAAAATAACGTGTGGTGTGTCCATACAATAAAATACTATGTGCCAAACAAAGAAAATGAAGTAATAATACCTGCTATGTCAGGAAAAAACCTCAAAATCACTAAAGTAAGTAAAATAAACCAAATGCAAAAGGGCAGATAATTTATGATTTCACTTAAAATAACTTTTAATAAAAGGCTTATATATAAAAACAGGCTAATGATTGCCTATGACCAGGGTAATGAAATCAGTAAGTACAAAAGAGATTAATTTCTTTTTCCATAGTGATAAGGTGATTTCAAAATTAGATTGTGGTTATGGGTGTCTGTAAATACACTTTAAGAACTTGGAATTGTACACTTAAAACATGTGATGGTTTTGTTATAAGATTATATCCCTCTAAAATGTTTCCAAATGAAACTGTTGACTTTTGGAGAACTAAGTCACAGACTGTAAAACCAAACCCATTTATTGTTCATCTCAAGGCATGTTAAATAAAGAGGAAAAGACAAAGATATAGTTATAACATTAAAATCTTCATGGCAAATAGTTATAAGAAAAAAATTACAATTGTAAAATGTATTAATAGACATAAATTACCTGCTTAGATTTACCAGGCCAGAAATGTAAATTAAATAATAGTACACTATTGAAGACCACTCTGAGTCACTGATTATTAGAAACTTGTTATGATGTCATCATAAGGTTAAAATATTCCTTATCAAAAATGACTCACAGCAAAAATGTTAAATAAAGTGTGTTAGTGGCACCCCTGTCCACAGTTGCTGGTACTTTTAGTGTATGGCCAATTAGAAAGCTGCTCTTTTGTCCCTCATTTGTAACCAATTTCAACACTCAAATTCAATATTGAACTCCTAAATTTATTGATAAAACATGTGAGAAGATGTTTAAATTATATATTTAAAAGATATTATGAAAATAAAAAATCTTAGCAAACATAGGGAGAATTATAAACTAACATTTATCATACATACCCACCACAAGGCTTCAGCAATTCTCACATTTTTTATCTTTCATTTTTAATTATCAACTTCAATTATTCTGGTAATATTTTCAAGTAAGCATATTATGTTGTCAGTTTGTAGAAATTTGAGTACCTATATCTAAGAAATAAAAAGAAAAATAAAAATAGTACTATAAAATCTAAGTAAATACAAGTATTTTCTAATATTGTACTAAAGAGTTTCTTGATTCTTTACGTGCAAAACAGTAGAACTTAGCAACCTCCAAGACTTTATGAGAAATAACAATTTAAGACTAATATTTATCCTGGAGACTCAAAGTGACTATAAATAAATATATCTTTAGTTAATAAAGCTTAAAAATAAAGTATTAATAAAAACACATTTTGAAGATGGCTGACACCTTTGTTACTAGACATGGGGCTTGTGCTGTAAATAACTAGTTTAAAAGTCCATGGAAAAGGGATTTTCAACCAAAAAGTCTATAGAAAACAAAAAATTTTGGTTTTTCTGAACTCAGGATGTGAGGCCAGCTTTTAAAGCACTGAATTTAAAAAGCCCTCAAGACCCTAAGCTTGATAAGCACGTCACCAGCAGGTCTCATTTTTCAGCTCTGTGCACCAGGTGGCATGTCTAGCAAAATGTCCCCTCTCATGTCAGGTTTTTTCTATGAACTCAGAATGACCACTGTCCCTTAGTATGCAGCCCTGCAGTGGACCCAAAAATGACAATCAATCAGGTCCAGAGTTGCTCATTATGGCCTTTCCAGAATGTAATTATCTAAGGACAATTCTCCCCCTTGTAAAATTAAGAAAGTATCAGAATATTTGCCTAATTTTTGATAACATCATACTGTGAGCCACAAAAAAGCAAGAATTTAAAATGTAAGGGATTATCTGGATCCTAGGGCACAGAAATACACCTCAAATAGAATAGTTTCACACACGATTTTATATGTGGACTTCCTGTGTGGAAGAAAAGAATGTGGGGGTCAATAGTAGAGAAGTCTGTATGTAGTGGAATTTTAAGAAATCAGAGAGGCCGATGGGGTTCAGGAGGGTATTTATTAATTATTTAGGTGCACTGGTCCAGTGGATTAACATCCAAAGAATGAGTCCTGAACAAAGAGTTAAGTTACCTTTTAAGCATTTCATGGGTGGGGAGAGATTTGTGCAGGGAGAATCATACTACAGAAGCAAGAAACAAAGACAGTTATTCAATTGAGACATGCATTACATTATTTCTTACTTTTCAAGGAAAAACCTGTTTTGTGACTTGAATTTATCTGTCTAGTGACCTTGCAGCTTCACAGCTTGGGAAACAGGGTCTTCACAATCCCTGGGAAAGGAGGAGAGATAAGGATCACTAGCCACAGAAAAACAGGCAGTTAGTTTTTAAAGGACTCCAGCTCTTACTCTTTCTCAACAGAAGTTGGGTTTTCTTACACACAAGTGAGTTTCTGCTTACACACTCTTTAATCTCTTATAATTCCTGTTCCATTCTCCCCATTGGTGCTTTTTATAACAGAGGTGTTAATAGAAAGCACCATTATTTGCCAAGTCTTCATGGAGCTGAGCTTTTTCTTCTTCTGGCGGTGGCTGATATCTGGTTAATGCATCAACTGTACAGACTGTACAGTAGTGTTTTGGGCTACCATTGCCTCCATAGTTGACTGAATACTCCTAATAAACAGAGACAAAAGGCAAGGGAGGATAAGGCAGATGCAAAGAATAAGCAAGAACCTACTAATGAGGGTTTAGAATTTTTCAAATGCTGAGAACCATCCTCCAAACAAGGAATCCGGGGACTACCTGGATCAAGTCTGAAGTGGAACCTGGGCCAACTTGTGCATTCTAGCTGTAATTTTTATGACCACTAATATTGATTTCTTGGCTATTGATTTCTAGGCAACAGTTGGTTAAATTAAATTTTCTACATATTCCTCCTTCGGAGGATAAGAGATAATTTAAAGCCAGCCTATTTTGATATATAGCATTTCCTTTTTGTGTTGCTTGTATTGCCAATAAATCTAGTGCCCTCGATATTTCATTGGTTATGATTTGAAGGACTGCCTGCAACTTCATGATGCGGCTGAGGATATAGATTATGGTGCAGTACCCTCATGACCTGTCTTGCACCTAGGTAGCTGGCCCATAGCATGTCATGATTCTTTCAGGAGGTCATTTATTATCTTTTTAGTCTCCTGTGTCCACATCTTTTTTGATATTTTTGTTACTTTTGTGATTATGCTTTTTCTAGTTCTTCTTTTATTTTTATTATAAACTGGATATTCTAAGAATTTCCCTTGCTTTAGAGGAATTAGAAAGAAGGATGGCTTGATTGCTTTTAACAGACATGTCCCTGCCCATTTTGCTGGCAGTTGCCAATATGCCCATGCTCCACAGATCCAATATAGGCCAGAGGGTGCCTTTCAAGCATTTGAATCATCTACCTGATGCCAAGTGCAGCTTAGAGTAAGGAATCCAGAGAAAGTGTTTGGATCTGGTAAGTAGGAGTCATTCTGGGCATTTCTTCATAGAGTTTTGTTTTTAGTCTCGTAATAATACTGTTGCCCTAGGAAGGTTGTTTTTCCTACTGCGTCTGTGAAAGCCTTTCCCCATCGAGTGATACAGTACTTTCCAGTTATGGAGATTTTTAACAATCAAACACTGGCTGAGGCTGTTGGTTCACTGGCAGGGTTAAGCAAAGTGAAGTTATCTTGTGGCATTAATTCCTTTGCCTCCCATTGCCACTCATTCTCCATATTAGTTTCTCTACATACATAGCATGAAGAAATTTTTAAGCTGCCATCTGTGTTTTCAGCTAGTTGAGCAAATAAGTTTTTGGTTGATGGGGGAACCTCGGGCACTGGCTGATCAAAATGCTTACAGAATGACTTGGTATTGAGGGGTTGGATGCATTTGAGTCCTTATAGTATTTTTGACAATTAGTAGTGGAACTCCAAGACCTGCTCCTTGTCTATCAACTGGTAATAGTGCTGTCTGTCCTGTAGACCAAAAAGGTAGCTCTGGCTTTAAGATAGTAAAATTTAAAGGATCGCATGTCCTTGTCTTACAATCTGGTTTTTAGGATTATGAACATACGTGGCATGGCAGTCATCAAAGAAGAAATAGGCCCTTTTTAGAAGGGTGGGATTTCTTTGGTTTGAGCTATAAGCTTTCCTTCTGTTTCTCCCTCTGATATAATATTTACCTCAAAATAGAATTAATAGGGTAAGAGCCCAGGCTCATAACATACATATAGCTGATTATTTCCTCAGTCACAGACTGAATAGGTGGTCTGGTTGTATATGCATATTCCTAATTTGCTTCCTGTACATTCATAGTAGGTATGGTACAGTAGAGTTTTAACTGTGGTATTTTTTATCCAGGTAATGTGTACACAGCATGGACATCCTTCAAGAGATTTATCCCCTTTCAGTATAAGCATAAATGGTAACAACATTGTTGTATGTAATAGAAACATGCTTACACTACACATGGGCACAAAAACTTTCCTCTGGGCATAGACATTTGCAGCATTTGCAGTAATAACATAACAACGGAACAATCAGTATTGACAGAATTGTAACTATGGTTATAAATTGTATTCACATTTACTTATCTGGACATGGTCCTCTTAGCTTCGGCTGTGTGTACACTAGTCAGCTTCCGGGATGTGACTAGAGCAGAGTTTGAAGAATCCTTAAGCTTCAGCCATGCTTAGACTGACCAGCCTCCAGTGTGGTCAGAGCAGGGCGGTTGTCCTTTTTACCGGTGGCTGAGATTTGCCATAGGGCTATTCGAGTGGGGCAATCTGGGTCTTGTTGGCTAATCCACAGGTTGTCATCACGACTCGCTACTGTCACTGGTTTTAGATGGCTATGGTGAATCCAAGGTGTGGCACCTGCAACTTTAACAGCAGTGGGAGTAGACATGATTACAATATGGCGCCTATCGTATATGGGTCCTAGAGTGGTTGAATTCCATTTTTTACCTAAACGAAGTCCCTAGGTTTGAAAGGGTGTACTGGGTCTGTTAGACTTATAGGCATTTTTTTACATACTTAACCATGCATTTTAGTATAGCCATACTTAAAGCCTGCATTTGCCTTCTTAAAGTTAGTTTTCCCAATTTACAGAGATTACCCTGAATCTGATTTTTCTGGGGGGTGGGCAGCTGAACAAAATCTCAGAGGGCGAATACTCAGTTTTTTGGTGGGGGTGCACCTGACTCATAAGAGGACCATGGGCAAGACCTGATATTACTTCAGATGAGTTTTTCGACAAAATTTCTTCAACAGCTGCTTGAGTGTCCAGTTTATGCTCTCCACTTTACCTGAGATCTGCTACCTGTAGGCTGTATGTTATTTCCATTTTATTTTTAATAGTCGAGTTAAGTCCTGAACTATTTTAGCCACAAATGTTGGTCCATTCTCTGATCTTAGAGTTAGAGGCAGCCCAAATCTGGGAACAATGTCTCTTAACGCCTTGGTCACGTCTAGTGCCCTCTCTGTCCTGGTGGGAAAGGCCTTGAGCTATCCTGAAAAGGTGCAAATGAACACCAATATGTACTGATAGCCCCCGTCTCAGGGTCATTCAGTGAAGTCCATTAGCAGTTTTTCACAGGGCATGGCTCCTTTTTCCTGAACTCCCATGGGCCGAGTAGGATCTTGTCGTGGATTGTTCCGAGTGTAAGTTAAACACAGTTTACAAATGGCCCGAGTAATAGCAATGAGCCATGGCAGATAAAAATGATGCCTTAATAATGTCTTTATTTTTTTTTTAATCTGAGTTCGGTGGTGGAATTGTTTTACAAATCTGGGGGTCACCATTTCAGGTATGGCTAGCCTCCCATTGAAGAATTTGTATTATCCTCTTTCAATGTAGTTCTTATTTTCCTGGGGAAGCCAAGCTCTGTTATTTGGAGTGAAGATTGGGATCTCCAGGAGGGGAATCTCCGGGAGGAGAGGCATAGCTAAGGCATCTTCTTTAGGTGGAGTTGTCATTGCAGCCTTCTTTGCCTCTTTGCCTTCGTATCTTTTTTAGCCCTTAGTGTTCTTGCTTTTTGCTGCCTCTTGCAGGACTTCACTACCGTCACTTTTGGGGCCCATACAGCGTTTAAGAGCTGTAGGATTTCTTCCTTGTACTTTATTTCTTTGTTTCCGCAGTTAAAAGTCTTCTTTTTTTCTTTGTAAATAACCTTATGAACATGCAAAGTGGCAGAAGCATATTTGGAACCTGTATAAATATTGGTCTTTTGGTCTTTTGCTAGCCAGAGAACTCTTGTCAGAGCTCTTAGTTCTGCTTTCTAATCAGAAGTTTCTGTAGATGAAGACTGCACCTCTACTGTTGAGTCTAAAGTCACCACTGCATACACAGCTTGGCGGGCTCCTTTTAGTATGAAACTGCTTCCATCAGTAGAATATTCAATGTTTGGGTCCCTGAGGGACTGATCTGTCAAATCTCTCTGGCTTGAGAACACTTCATCTACCACGTCCACACCACAATGAAACGGTCCTCCTGGCACTGACTCGATGAGAGTAAGGTAGCCGGATTTAGGGTATTCACAGTCTCTAAAGTTAGTTTACTAGCTTCCTGCACCAGTACGGCAGTGGCTGCTAGTGCTTTAAGACAAGGAGGCCATCCAAGTGCAACAGAATCTAATTGCCTGGATAAATATGCCACCAGGCGATGCCATGACCTTATGGCTTGAGTCAGAACCCCTATGGCCTCCCTTTCACTTGTGGACATACAAGAAGAAAAGCTTGATTAGTTAGATCTGGCAGTCCTAAAGCTGGGGCCTGAGTCAAGGCTTCTTTGATTTCTTTAAAATCCTTCTCCTCTTTGGCCTCCTAGAGGAGGGGCTCCTTTTTTCCTCCTCTTAGTGGCTTGGTATGATGGCTTGACCATGAGCAAGAAATTTGGGTTGTAAACGCGGCAGAACCTTGCTGCTCTTAGAAACTCTCTTACTTGACACCGGGTGGTTGGAGTAGAAAGTGCACAAACAGCCTGCTTTTTTTCAGGACTAAGCCATCTTTCCTCTTGGCTTATATAAAAGCTTAAATATTGACACTTTTAGAGGAGATTTGAGCTTTTTTCTGACACTTTTTATTCTGCCTTCTACAGCAGGTGCAGTGGTTCTTGGGTTTCTTCTGCGTGTAGTAGCCCTTGGCTGGTGTGTGTGTGTGATTTTTTGGTTCTGTTTTTTTGGGTTTTTTTGGTTTGTTTTTTGTTTCTTTTACTATTGCCCTGATCATTTTCATTATTTCTTTGACATTTATGCTTCCAGTGTCTTTCCTTTTGCACCATGCACATTAATCTCTCTCTAGCCTCGGCTGGCCTTCACACTCCTGTCCAGACTAGCCTTTTTCATGACTACGTTCACGCCCGCGTCCATGCCTCCTTGTAAAGCCAGCTCCTCTTCCCGGAAGGGCTGCTGCTAGTAAGTTAGCCTTTCTTAAGCCTGTGATCAGCCTTTTCCTTTGCCTCCTCATCTCGGTTAATTAACACCTTGGTTGTCACTTTAATAAGCTGAGTAGCATTCTCGCCTACGGAGCTTGTAACTTCTGCAATTTATGCCTGATATCTCCTTGGGTCTGCCTTACAAGTGCTGGATTCACCCTGCACTGATTTTTGAGTAGCCTCAGGGTTAAACGGAGTGTACAATAAAAATGCCTCACAAAGTCTTTCATAGAACTTGCTGTGCTTTTATCTGCACCCTGAAGCATGTCTGAGATTTTTAAAAATATTGATTGCCTTTTTCTTTTACCATCCTTTAGCCTTTGCAGATGGGCTTCTCGGCACCTTTGTAGGTGCTGAATCTGGACTGCATCATCTGGGTCCTAGTGGGGGTCCTCCTGTCCTCTTAAGAGGCATGAGCATATCTTATGCACGACCAGACCTGAGACGGCCTGCCTGATTTTCGCTCTCATTTCACCTTCTCGGGTGAGACTGGCAGCATGTATCCATTTGAACTTAACTCCTTAGGGACAGTTACCTTGGTAAAGGGGGTAGATTGGAATGTAAGGAGGAGCGGTCTCTATTCTTTTCTGTGGTTGTTACAAAACCGGTTTTTCTGCCTTTTCTGAGATTTTTTCATTTGTCTTCAGCTGCTGGGGCAGCTGATTTTACTTTCACTTTTGGCTGGGAGGTGCTACAAGCCTCTGTGTCTCCTTTTAACTCTGTAGCTGCCAGAGCAGCTGATTTTCTCTTGCCGTGAGCTGCGAGCATTCTACAGTAAACTGCTAGGCAGGGCTGCATTCATTTAGCCATGAGTCAATATAAAGACTAGGTCTGAATGTCCTGGCTGTTCTCTGACCCTAGTCACCACCTTAAAACACACGGCCAATTTTTCTATAGTGCCTTTGGCAAGCCATCTGACACTAAAACAGGGCTATTCTAATTCACAGTATGTCCTTAACTTTTGAACACTCAGTTTCATCCTATAATCACTTCTAACTCTTTTTTTAAAATTCTTTATTATGCTTTTCAAAGGAGCCACTTTTGATGTTTTCACTCTCATTTCCTCTCTTGCAGTTCACTTTCACTCTGACTTTCACTCTTGAGTCCACCAGACCTGGTCCTATTGCGGGAGTTTCAGATGCTGCTTAGCCAGGACCATGCCTTCCCCTGTCGCAGACTGCTGCAGCTGTAAAGCTGGTACTATCAGCCATATGAAGCATCTTAGGTCTGATTTTCCCCACATTCGCCTCAGAGCACACAGCCACCACTAAGGGATCTGTGCCTCCCCATGTCGCTGCCCACATTGGCCTCTCCCAATGTAACAGGAAGAGCTGCAGACAAAACCCCTTGGACACTGAGTTAAAGAAAGAAGGTGTTTATTCACCTGGGAGCTTCAGCAAGACTTCTTTCCCAAGAGCTGAACCGTCCGAGTGAGCAATTCCTGTCCCTTTTAAGGGCTCACAACTCTAAGGGGGTCCGCATGAGAGGGTCACGATCTATTGAGCAAGCAGTGGGTATGTGACTGGGGGATGCATACACTGGTAATTAGAAAGGTACTGAACAGGACAGGGATCTTCACAGTGCATTTTTTATGCAAATAACCGATTAGGTCAGGGGTTGACCTTTAACTACCAGGCCCAGGGTGTGGCGCTGGGCTGTCTGCTTGTGGATTTCATTTCTGCCTTCTAGTTTTTACTTCTTCTTTCTTTGGAGGCAGAAATTGGGTATAAGACAATATGAGGGTTGGTCTCCTCCCTTATTTTCCCCCTTTGAGACTCTCACTCATTTTATTAGTGGGAGTTCTCACCTTCTTCCTCACTACCTATGTCTTCCTCTATCACAGATTGATAGTGATTCATGTAGTACACTCGTGCTGAAGCGTTCTGGTGAACTAGAGTTGCCATGAAAACTTTTACCACTTGAATGAGTACAGCTAGTAAGCAAGAGATCAGTAAGCAGGTTCCTATTACTACTATAGTTTCCATTATAAGAGTTTTAAATCCTTCTAGTGCCGGGAACCATTTTCAAACATGGCCTCAGTGTCAAATCGGTGCCACACCTGTACTGGCACATGTGCCAGTTTCATCATGTCTTTAACTATATCTTCGACTACTTGCCCCTGATCATCTATGTGCAGACAGCAAGTGGGCCTAATTACAGTCATTAAATTGGGCCTAATTACAGTCACAATCAATTTACTAAAATAACCAGACAGCAAGACAGGTTTCCAAACATTGGCAAATGTTTCAGGGAGAAAAAAATGCCCCACTAGAGAAGCATGGTTGTATCTCTGTGTGTACATACACACGGGGCCAGGCAGTTCTATGCATGATAGTCTGGGACTGTAAAAGTGACTATGCAAACCTTTACATTCTGTCACAGAACTTACAATTTAAAGTGAGCATCTTTTTCTGTGACTTAGAAATTGACTTTTTTTTTTTAGTTGGGAGCCACTTTTAGCAATTTTCCCTTTGTTGATACATAATAATAGTATATATTTGTGGTGCATGAGTGATATTTTGATACATGCATGCAATGTACAGTGATCAAATCAGGGTAATTAGAATATCCATCACCTCAAACATGGATATTATTTTCTTTGTGTTTGAAAAATTTCCTTTGTGTTGGGAGAATTTAAAGCCATCTCTTCTATCTATTTTAAAATATACTAAAAATTAGTGCTAACTGTAGTTATCCTACTGTGCTGTCAGACACTAGAAATTATTCCTCCTATGATAAAAAGTTTAGGCTGTATCCCATGGGTAGTAGGACACCACATGACTGAGTGGTCATCTGGGAAATTATCTGGATGACTTTGGAACATTCCTGGTTGAGCCAGGTGGCTGTTGCAACAAACTGTGGGGAAGCCCCTCCCCTAATGCCCCCTAAGCCAGCTGTCACTACATGGCAGGAAACCTCCAAACCTGAGGGCCCCAGGAAACAATGACAGTCCCCACTCACATGCAACTTGTGCTGTGCTCAGTGCCCTCCACATTGAGCCTGATCTAGCTTTACCCGAGGGCTGTGAGGTGGGACAATCAGTATCCCTTTATTTTAAAAGGCTCAGTGAAGTTTTGGGCTTAATGTGAGTGAAGTGATCCTAAAAGCTGACTCTGGGATCCCGGCTCCACCACTGACCAGTCCTGCAGGTGGCGAGAGTTGCCTCTCCTCCCCTCGATTTCATTTTGTCCTCTGTGAAGTGCAGCCGTGCTGATGACTCACATATCAGGGATACATGGGAACTGTCAATGAACGGAGTGCTCTACACAGTGCCTGGAGCTCAGAATGCAGATGAGGGAGGAGGGTGAGCCATAATTCTGAGGGAAGTCCCAACATAATTTAGCCCTTCCATCTAGTAGCCGGGCCCCAGTACAGAGTCCTATGTCAGTGACAGGGCAAACTGAGACCAGCTCAAACACAGCCTCTTCCTCAGCAGCAGGGCCCAACTAAGGCACTTGGTGTTTTGGTTCATTTCCTGCAGCTTCAATGTAAAGAATATTGTGAGACATTTGCTGGAACAACTGAAAATCAGAAGAAGAAGAGACAGCTCTTCTCCATCTCCCTGAGAGCTCTTCCCCAGAATGTGTTTATCCAGAGAGGAGGGGAAATATTTATTTTTCGTAAATAGTAAATGCTAGAGTCGAATATTATATGAAAATCTCATTCTACTACAAAATCGGAGTTGTGGTTGTGGTTCTTTTTATTTCACTTGTGTAAGCTTAAATGAGATACAGACTCTAACATTTCTCCTTGAATTATGAAATCCTAAAGAGTCGGCAGCATAATGTATGAGGAAGAAGAGAAAAGCAGTCATAGTTTCTGGCTGCCGGATAAGACACCCAGGTCCATTTTTCTCAGAGCATATGTTCATTTTAATATTAACCCAAGGAAAGAGTGAAGATAGATCATTCGAACTTGCAGAATTAATAATTTGAAGGTATTTTCACAAAGCATAGCGACAGTCTTGGAAATATAGATTTCTTTAAAAAGCAGTTGCAGAGATCAGGAGGATGAATACCTTTCTATGATTTTACAAAAAATAAATCAACTTCTGCTTCACTTGCTGAGGTTTCCTCTAAGCAACTATTAGGACATTGTTGTTTTTTCTTCCAACTCTGGAGTTGCATCAGGTCTATGTGGAAAAAAACATTATAAAATAAAATGACCAAAGTCAAAAGGAGAAGGCCAGGGAAAGTCTATTGACAATGGATGCAGGGCAGAAAGGAAGCTGCATTCTCAATCTTCTTCTGGTGTCCTGTGATTGAGCCTTTACCTTAGATGTAAATCCTCCCAGAGTTTTGTCTCTTACCTTAGAATTTCTATTCTTTTTTTAAGTTAGTTTCTTATCTAGAATGAAAGAATTGTAATGCCACTTTATGGCTACACCTGGGCCTTATTCTGTAAATATTTTTACTACCTATGAGGTAAAATTCCCAGCATTAGGGCAATTCTTTATCCAATTTTTTCTTTCTGAGACAGAGTCTTGCTGTGTCACCCAGGCTGGAGTACATTGGTAAAATCTTGGCTCACTGCGATCTCCACCTCCTGGGTTCAAGAGATTCTGCTGCCTCAGGCTTCTGTGTAGCTGAGATTACAGGCACCCAGCTTCATGTCCAGCTAATTTTTGTACGTTTAGTATGTTTAGCAAATTTTGTATTTTTAGTTTCACTATGTTTGTCAGGCTGGTCTTGAACTCCTGACCTCCAATAATCTGCCCGCCTTGGCCTTCCAAAGTGCTGGAATTACAGGTGTGAACCAATTCTTTTTGAGGAATAAATTACCTAAAGGTCCTCAAGCCTTTCTGTCAGGCATATCTTGGCCTTTTCTCTCTGACTGGGGTCCGATGAATCACAGGTGGGCACTATTTTTCTATATTCCCAACCAGTGATAATCCTTGCGCTCTTTATTTCTAATTAAAAGAAATCCAAAATGGAGATAGTTATTTGAGAGGTCTCTAAAGACAACTAGGAGGACATGAGGAGTTGAATTAATACTCATACACACCCAGGTGGAATTTTACCTGTTCGAACTGGGAAAATTACAGATGTCCTAAAAAGGCAACTGCATTTGACTTGGATTGTTTATACTGAGCCTGATCACAAACCTCCTGGAGAGAAAGCTGTGCTGAATTAAGCTGATGATTGCCTAGATACAGTCTAAGCTGGCAATCAAACATTGTCCATCATAGACTGTGCTAAAATCTTTCACTTGTGTAAACTTGCAGTAAAACTTTATAAGTCCCTCCCTAACCTCATCTGAATGGAACATGATATAGCTTCTTGCTAAATTTGTGTCTCCCAAATAGCAATTTATAAAAAATCATGATTAAAATGCCTTTTATTTTATTTTCCACAGGGTCTGTTTTACTCCCATGTTATAAAATGCTTTTCTCAAGAAAGCATAGAGCCCATTCTCTTCTCTAGAGAGAATCGCAGCCTTGCAAAAGAGACAACTAAAAATACATACATATAAGTATCAAGAATTTAAAACTCAAAATATTAAATATGTTACAAAAGTATATAAGCAATAGAATAAATAGGATGAATAGCAAAATGGATAAAATCAACTGTGAGTTGAAAGCCTGAAAGTTCAGGTGAAGGTGTTGAAAATGCTTCAGAAAAAACTAAAGAGATAAATATTTATAAAAATAAAGAGCTGGGCTCAGTGGCTCACACTTGAAATTTCAGCTGCTAGGGATGCTGAGGCCAGAGGATCAATTAAGGCCAGAAGTTTGAGACAAGCCTAAGCAAGACCTTGTCACTGAAAATGTTTTAAAAATTATTTTGACATTATAGCATGTAACTGTGGTCTCAACTACTTAGAAGGCTGAGGCAGGAGGATTACTTGAACTCAGGAAGTTGAGGTTACAGTGAACTATAATCATGCTACCGTACTCCAGCCTGGAGTGAGGCAAAATCTAGTCACATTAAAATAAAATAAAACAAAATAAAATAAAATAAAATAAAATAAAATAAAATAAAATATAATCTAGTCACGTTAAAATAAAGTACAATTATCAAGGACAAAAATAAAATTGTACAACTTGGCAATAGAAAAAAAATAGAGCATAGAGCAACTGGGGGAAAGGGGGTTGAAAGTATAATTTCCTTTTTATTTCCTTAGTTGGTCATTACTTAGACTTTTTCACTTAATTAAAATTTTCTTATACTTTGGTGCCCAGTTAACCCCAGAGCATTTTTAATTAATTGGTTTAGAGGTAGATACTCATATAAGCTTTCCACTGCAAATTACAAGAGCCAAATTTTAAATAAATGTTGGACCTCTAAATTTTCTATTTGCAATATTTAAGGAAATAAAAATTATAAAAAACACTTTGTAAAACATTTAGTATGTAACTGCTGTTTCTAATGTATAATAAATCCAATTATGGCAGAGACTCACTCTGTTGTTGAGAATCTCTCCATTATATGACTGCTGCTTGTGGTGCTTAAACCTCAGGAAGAAAGAATATATGAATGTCTGAACATTGCTTTAAAAAGACAATGTACATTTAATGTAGAGATATGTGACCAGCTTAGAAAGCTGCACTTTTTCCACAGCAGGCAAACCAGAGCCTGGATACCCCAGGGTCACAGCTCATGAGAACATAGGGCTGGACTGTGAGAAAACAAGAAGCAATTCGTGCAGAGGAGTTGACAAGACACCAACTGGGCTGAGAAAAAAGAGCTGATAGATTAATTTCCAAATTATACTACAAAACATACAATAAGCAGACCCCATAGCTTTATACATTAAAACCAAATGATGACAAAGAGTGAGGATTGCATTAAATTAAATTAGGAGCAACTAAAGACTGGTTTATGATCTTGAAACTTTAGTCACTCTCCATAGTTCCATCCCATGACCCGGTAATTATTTCCTGCTTTCTGCATGCCTTGGACACTGGTCCATTTCTGGCCCCAAAGTGTTCCTTTTTCTAATAAGAGTACTTACTTCATCTCTTAATACAATTCCTTTCCTTGCATACTGTGCCCCAAAGAAGAAATATTAAAAACTTTCCTGATGTTTTTCTGCTGCGGGGTTAATGGGCTCAGAGTGATGATAAGAACGGCCAATGAGTGTGTGGAGCCAGATAGTGCTTAAAATATGGACTTCAGTCCAGTGAAGTCTAACAAGATTGGCACCTGAGCACTCTTCTCTGAGACCTGAGGATGGACTCACTGAACCTGGAGCTACTAACGCAGCTGATACCCACATATATACACCACCTGTGTTCCTAGAAACTGGCCTTCCCAGCCCATCACAGCAAACACCAACACCAGCATGGAACGCTTGGGAGTCAGAGGTTTTTCTTGTCGTTGCTACTGCCATCATCCATGCCATAACCACTGTCCAGGGGCTCAAGAAGCTGCCCACCCACCTTGCTCACTGCTGACACCTGAGCAAATCACATGAAGGCCAAATAATTAGTCTTCCTGGACCTGTTAACACTGCTGCCAGCATAACTGCCTTGAGACCCAAAAGCAGGCATGGTAAGCTCACCACTGCCACCACTGGGATCCAATGACTAAACCTCTGGTGCCCCTATTCCCAGCAAAACTTTACCACAGCCTCTGCTAAAAACGATACCCTAAGCCACTGAGAAAGGTACAGACACCACTGATACTCTTTACAGCCAAAGAAATCATATAAAGACAGGCCGGGTATTGTGGCTCATGCCTGTAATTCCAGCACTTTGGGAGGCCAAGGCCAGTGGCTCGCTTGAGGCTAAGAGTATGATACCAACCTGGGGAACATGTCAAAACCCTGACTCTACTAAAAACACACAAATTTGCTGGGCATAGTGGTAGGCACCTGTAATCCCAGCTACTTGGGAGACTGAGGCACGAGAATCGCCTGAACTCAGAGGTGGAGCCTACAGTGAGCCGAGATAGTGCCACTACACTCCATCCTGGGCAACAGAGCAAGGTTCTATCTTAAAATATATACACATACAGAGTTTAAAGTCTGTGCTCTCCTCTCCTCAGCTGCCTTGTGACTGTGTAAGTGTATGTTTGGGAAGGGAGGGATAGGATGAGGACAGGCCAGCAGAGAGTCACCAGCACTGGCTAAAGGTCTCAGACCAAATTTTATACTCTTGACCAGGAGAAACTTCTCTGTTATTCTAATCACATTAAACTCAAGCATTTTCTTTTTTTCTTTCTTTTTTTTGAGAAATCACATCGAACTTCCAAAATTATAAAGTTGAAAATATGTAATAATTGACAATTGGAAACAAGAAAGAGGATTAGCTATAAAAATAACTCAGGACAATGTATTTATCATGAAAAGATGGTCTTGGTGGAAGAAAGTTTCATGCCCAGCCAGCCCATTCTTCAATATCTGCTAAAAAAAAAAAGAGCAAAGGGAACTTAAAGACATCATAGACTTGGAAATTTCGTCTCACAGTGCATTAAATTCCCAAATCACATGTGGAAGAGAAGAAGCTGCTGCATATTAGACTAACTAGTTTTACTGAATGTTGTCTGTTGATTTAAAAATTAATACTCTTATCAAGAGCAAATTGAAATACTGAAAGTTATTTACTAAACAGCAAAGAATATTTTCAGTATATAAAAAGATTTAAAAAAACGTTGACACCTTAACTAAATCTGACACAAATTTAAAAGGAAAAGTAACTAGAAAATGAAAGAAGCGTTGTACAAGTATGCGATGCACCCTCTGTTGCACCAACTGCTCCTGTTTGTTGAGTCCCCTCTTCTATTCTGCCTCCTCCATCTCCTTGCTGATTCCCCTTTTTGTCTATTTTAATTTCTCTCTCTATTCCTTTCTCAGGTCACCATGTCACATTCCTTTTGTGTCTTTTGATGTCCAATCTCACCGACACCACCTTCATTCTCTATTTTATCTTTACAAATGGTTAATTAGGCATAAAGAGGGAAAACACTCCTGGGAAGATACCTGAATCCTGGTGCACACTATCATTATCACTGTTTTTCATGTTGATGCTCATGTGTCTCTGCTTTCTCGACAGACTATTTAATCAGCAGACAGATCAACAGGCCAAAATTTCCACCATAGTTGCAAATTTGAATGCGGATGAATGGATTAAAACACATTCAAGTCTTGCAATGAACGGCATAATGTATGGTGGTATAATTCAGAGTGGTTACAGGGGAGAGTTAAAGATCATTGTATACAATATCACTCGAGAATCTTTTGCTGTAAAACTGCAGATGTGGGTTCCTCAATTTTTAGTGGTACCTTGTCAACAATTAACCCCTGAGGATGTCTCTGCCCCAACAGAGGCTACATACAGAACTGGGAGATTCAGACGCACTGGTACACGTAGCTTAAATCCTGGAGCCAAAATATGAGTACAGCGTCCATCACATCCTACTCCTATGGCTGGTGAACTTGTAGCTATGGGAGAAGAAACTGAAGGCATAGTACAGTTTCCTAAAGATGAAAAACAATATTATGTTCCCCTCTGTTTTGGTTATTACAGAGAATAACCTGTTTACTAATGGTCAGTACCTGTGTCTCTGTGTCTGATGCCAAGAATAAATTCATCATCTGCATAGCCACCACTGCAACAGAAGCCAACTGCAGTCAATGTTGGCTATGCGTGGAATTGCCAGAGGCCACCAAAAATGGGCTACGTTGGAGAATCGTCCCTGTACCTTACTGCATACCGAATGTTGTGTGTATATCCCTGACAATTCTCACACTACGACTCTCCTTGCACAGCCATGGTGGGTGTGGTTTTCATTAACTGTGCTTTTAATTCTCCTGTGCTTACACTGAATCTGTAATCTGTATAAAGTATGCTTTCCCCAAGTATCTGTAAGGGTATTTTCCTACAATTGAGTATCAAATTGAAGCCAAATTTGGAAGAAAAGTTAAATACTCAATTTTATCTCAATTGAACATGGACACAAACAATGGTCACCAAGTCCCGGAACAGGTTCTGTGAGTTTCTTCAGGCGTTCATCCACCAGTGTCTCAGAGAAATTTCTATTTTAATCTGTTCCTGTATGTTAGTTATTGAAAAACAACAGACAATCGCCAAAAATTTGACATTTTTGTGGTTTTTGAGCCCAGTAGTGAAGAGTCCTCGTTACCCGGCCTTATGCCAAAGAACTCCTTACAAAAAGAGCTAGGGTCCCAGATGGCACTAGAGCTTCCTGAGACCTCTCCCCATCTCTGCAGGGATGAGGGGCCAACTCTGTAGCCCAGGCTGTTGCTTCCCGGTCTGTTGATGAATCCTCCATAGTCTGGTGAGTGTAGTGTCTGACTCTGGAGCCCAGGCTATTGCTTCTCTGTCTGGTGATGCTTCCTCCATACTCTGTAGTCTGCTGTGTGTAAACATATGTATATATATATATATATACATATATATGTATATAATTTATACATATAACTGTAAATAAAAATAATTATATAATTATGTACATAATTATTTAAATAAATAAATGTAAATAAATACATATATAATTATATATATATAATATATATATTTATATATATAAAAAATATATATATTTTTTCCCTTCTCATATCAATTTGCTTATCATATCATTTACTTATTATATCTGTATTGCCATATAATTGAGACAAAAGATGTTTACCCTTAAAAGTATTGTGTGTGCCTTTTCTTCTTCCTCATGGATCTCCCATGCAGAACACATGCCTGACAAATTTTTATATTTTTAGTGGAGACTGGGTTTAGCCATGTTGGCCAGGCTGATCTCAAACTCCTGACCTCAGGTGATCCTTCCATCTCGGCATCCCAAAGTGCTGAGATTATAGGCATGAAACACCCAGCCAGGAGGAGGCATTTCTACAAAGAAAACATACAAATGGCAAACAGACATATAAATGTTGCTAAACATCATTAAACCTCAGAGAAATGCAAATCAGAACTACAATAAGACATTATCTCACTCCAGTTAAAATGTCTTATATCCCAAAGACAGACAATAACAAGTGCTGACGAGGATGTGGAGAAAACTTTAGTGCACTCTTGGTGGGAATGTAAATTAGTATAACCACTATAAAAAAGTGTGGAGGTTCCTCAAAAAGCTAAAAATTGAGCTGCCACAGCTACAATGCAACCCAACAATCCCAGTGATGGGCATTGACACAAAAGAAAGAAAATCGGCTTGTTGCTGCACTGTTTACAATAGCTAAGATTTGAAAGCAAACTGTCTACAAATGAATGAATGTATAAAAAAAGTAGTACATATATACATTGGAGTAGTATTCAGCCATAAAAATGAGATTTTGTCTTTTACGACAACGTGGATAAAAGAGAAGAGTATGTTAAGTGAAATAAGCCAGGCACAGAAAGATAAACACTGTGCGTTCTCACTTATTCGTGGGATGGAAGAATTAATACAACTGAATTCACGGACATAGAGAGCAGAAGGATGGTTTTCAGAAGCTAAGAAAGACAGTGGAGGCTGGGGGAAAGGTGGGGACTGTTAATGTGTACAAAAAAATAGAATAAATAAGACATATTATTTGATAGCACAACGAGATGACTCTGGTCAATAATAATGTAATTGTACATTTTAAACTAGCTAAGAAGGAATAATCAGATTTTAACCCAAAGAATAAATGCTTGAGTGGGTGGGTATCCCATTCTCTATGATGTGATTATTATGCATTGCGAGACCGCATCAAAACATCTCATGAACCCCATAAGTATATACACCTACAATGCATCCTCAAAAATTACAAATTAACTGAAGTAAATAAAATAAAACTATTTAAAAATAAAATATCATAACATTAACTAGCCCCAGAAATATAAGATTTTAATGAAATAAAAATGCCTCTATAATAATCAAACAGTGAGAAGAAAGTCACACTTTACTCCTATTTTTGTTTCTGATCTATCTTCTATCTAGTTTCAAGTTGTAGAATTTTCTTTTTTCATTTCTAATTAAATTTTATTTTATTTTATTTTTTTATTATACTTTAACTTTTACGGTACATGCGCACAACATGCAGGTTTGTTACATATGTATACATGTGCCATGTTGGTGTGCTGCACCCAGTAACTCGCCATTTAACATTAGGTATATCTCCAAATGCTATCCGTCCCCCCTCACCCTACCCCACAACAGGCCCCGGATTGTGATGTTCCCCTTCTTCTGCCCATATGTTCTCTTTGGTCAATTCCCACCTATGAGCGAGAACATGCGGTGTTTGGTGTTTTGTGCTTGGATAGTTTGCTCAGAATGATGGTTCCAGCTTCATCCATGTCCCTATAAAGGACATGAACTCTTCATTTTTTATGGCTGCATTTTGTTCCATGGTGTATATGTGCCACATTTTCTTAATCCAGTCTATCATTGTTGGACATTTGGGTTGGTTCCAAGTCTTCGCTATTGTGAACAGTGCCGCAATAAACATACTTGTGCTTGTGCCTTTATAGCAGCATGATTTATACTCCCTTGGGTGTATACCCAGTAATGGGATGGCTGGGTCAAATAGTATTTCTAGTTCTAGAGCCCTGAGGAATCGCCACACTGACTTCCACAATGGTTGAACTAGTTTACAGTCCCACCAACCGTGTAAAAGTGTTTCTATTTCTCCACATCCTCTCCAGCACCTGTTGTTTCCTGATTTTTTAATGATCGCCATTCTAAGTGGTGTGAGATGGTATCTCATTGTGGTTTTGATTTGCATTTCTCTGATGGCCAGTGATGATGAGCATTTTTCCATGTGTCTTTTTGCTGCATAAATGTCTTCTTTTGAGAAGGGTCTTCATATCCTTCACCCACTTTTTGATGGGGTTGTTTTTTTCTTGTAAATTTGTTTGAGTTCGTTGTAGATTCTGGATATTAGCCCTTCGTCAGATGAGTAGATGGCACAAACTTTCTCCCATTCTGTAGGTTGCCTGTTCAGTCTGATGGTAGTTTCTTTTGCTGTGCAGAAGCTCCTTAGTTTAATTAGATCCCATTTGTCAATTTTGGCTTTTGTTGCCATTGCTTTTGGTGTTCTAGACATGAAGTCCTTCCCCATGCCTATGTCCTGAATGGTATTGCCTAGGTTTTCTTCTAGGGTTTTTACGGTTTTAGGTCTAACATTTAAGTCTTGAATCCATCTTGAATTAATTTTTGTATAAGGTGCAAGGAAGGGATCCAGTTTCAGCTTTCTACATACGGCTAGCCAGTTTTCCCAGCACCATTTATTAACTAGGGAATCATTTCCCCATTTCTTGTGTTTGTCAGGTTTGTCAAAGATCAGATGGTTGTAGATATGTGGCATTATTTCTCAGGGCTCTGTTCTGTTCCATTGGTCTATATCTCTGTTTTGGTACAAGTACAATGCTGTTTTGGTCACTGTAGCCTTGTAGTATAGTTTGATGTCAGGTAGCGTGATGGCTCCAGCTTTGTTCTTTTGGTTTAGGATTGACTTGGCAATGAGGGCTCTTTTTTAGTTCCTTATGAACTTTAAAGTAGTTTTTTCCAATTCTGTGAAGAAAGTCTTTGGTAGCTTGATGGGGATGGCATTGAATCTATAAATTACCTTGGGCAGTATGGCCATTTTCACGATATTGATTATTCCTACCCATGAGCATGGAATGTTCTTCCATTTGTTTGTATCCTCTTTTATTTCATTGAGCAGTGGTTTGTAGTTCTCCTTGAAGAGGTCCTTCACGTCCTTGTAAGTTGGGTTCCTAGGTATTTTATTCTCTTTGAAGCAATTGTGAATGGGAGTTCACTCACGATTTGGCTCTCTGTTTGTCTGTTATTGGTGTATAAGAATGCTAATGATTTTTGCACACTGATTTTGTATCCTGAGACTTTGCTGAAGTTGCCTATCAGCTTAAGGAGATTTTGGGCTGAGATGATGGGGTTTTCTAGATATACAATCATGTCATCTGCAAACAGGGACAATTTGACTTCCTCTTTTCCTAATTGAATACCCTTTATTTCCTTCTCCTTCCTGATTGCCCTGGCCAGAATTTCCAGCATTATGTTGAATAGGAGTGGTGAGAGAGGGCATCCCTGTCTTGTGCCTGTTTTCAAAGGGAATGCTTCCAGCTTTTGCCCATTTAGTATGATATTGGCTATGGCTTTGTCAGAGATAGCTCCTATTACTTTGAGATACGTCTCATCAATTCCTAATTTATTGAGAGTTTTTTGCAGGAAGAGTTGTTGAATTTTGTCAAAGGCCTTTTCTGCATCTCTTGATATCTCAAGATAATCACATGGTTTTTTTGTCATTGGTTCTGTTTATAAGGTGGATTACGTTTGTTGATTTGTGTATGTTGAACCAGCCTTGCATCCCAGAGATGAAGCCCACTTGATCATGGTGGATAAGCTTTTTGATATGCTGCTGGATTCGGTTTGCCAGTATTTTATTGAGGATTTTTGCATAGATCTTCATCGGAGATATTGGTCTAAAATTCTCTTTTTTTGTTGTGTCTCTGCCAGGCTTTGGTATCAGGATGATGCTGTCCTCATAAAATGAGTTAGGGAGGTTCCCTCTTTTTCCATTGATTGGAATAGTTTCAGAAGGAATGGTACCAGCTCCTCCTTGTACCTCTGGTAGATTTTGGCTGTGAATCCATCTGGTCCTGGACTTTTTCTGGTTGGAAAGCTAATTATTAATTATTGCCTCAATTTCAGAGCCTGTTATTGGTCTATTCAGAGATTCAAATTCTTCCTGGTTTAGTCTTGGGTGGGTGTATGTGTCGAGGAATTTATCCATTTCTTCTAGATTTTCTAGTTTATTTGCATAGAGGTGTTTATAGTATTCTCTGATGGTAGTTTGTATTTCTGTGGGATCGGTGGTGATATCCCCTTGGGTTTAATAAACAGATAACATCAAACATTCAACTAATCCAATAAAAAGAAATTTTATTCATTTGAGAATGTGTTTTCCAGAGCATACTTATATATTACGTTTTAACTTCATAATTTATATTTTATAAAAACATAACTAATTCAAGTTAATCTTCTCTAATTTTTAATTCAATTGAATTTTTATCAGGATCACTATATTTAAACAAAAATTACCTGAATTTTTCACATCATAATTTATAGATTCTGCTTCTACAAATTGTCTGTAGGGACCATTATTTCTACACGGTCTACTTTCCTGGGTTAAGTGGTGGATACCCAAATGTTTTTTGGAATAATGTTTTCTTATATCAGTTTTTAGTCAGTGATACGTTGCACCATGTTTAATTTTAAGCATTATCAGTTTTCTTTTTTTTTTTTAATTGATCATTCTTGGGTGTTTCTCGCAGAGGGGGATTTGGCAGGGTCACAGGACAATAGTGGAGGGAAGGTCAGCAGATAAACAAGTGAACAAAGGTCTCTGGTTTTCCTAGGCAGAGGACCCTGTGGCCTTCCGCAGTGTTTGTGTCCCTGGGTACTTGAGATTAGGGAGTGGTGATGACTCTTAAGGAGCATGCTGCCTTCAAGCATCTGTTTAACAAAGCACATCTTGCACCGCCCTTAATCCATTCAACCCTGAGTGGATACAGCCCATGTTTCAGAGAGCACAGGGTTGGGGGTAAGGTCACAGATCAACAGGATCCCAAGGCAGAAGAATTTTTCTTAGTACAGAACAAAATGAAAAGTCTCCCATGTCTACCTCTTTCTACACAGACACGGCAACCATCCGATTTCTCAATCTTTTCCCCACCTTTCCCCCCTTTCTATTCCACAAAACCGCCATTGTCATCATGGCCCATTCTCAATGAGCTGTTGGGTACACCTCCCAGACGGGGTGGTGGCAGGGCAGAGGGGCTCCTCACTTCCCAGTAGGGGTGGCTGGGCAGAGGCGCCCTTCACCTCCCGGACGGGGCGGCTGGCCAGGCTGGGGGCTGACCCCCCCACCTCCCTCCTGGACAGGGCGGCTGGCCGGGCGAGGGGCTGACCCCCTCACCTCCCTCCCGGATGGGGCGGCTGGCCGGGCGGGGGGCTGACCCCCCACCTCCCTCCCGGACGGGGCGGCTGACTGGGCGGGGGGCTGACCCCCCCACTTCCCTCCCGGATGGGGTGGCTGGCCGGGCAGAGGGGCTCCTCAGTTCCCAGTAGGGGTGGCCGGGCAGAGGCACCCCTCACCTCCCGGACGGGGCGGCTGGCCGGGCGGGGGGCTGACCCGCCCACCTCTCTCCCCCCCAGAAGGGGTGGCTGGCCGGGCGGGGGGCTGACCCCCCACCTCCCTCCCAGACGGGGCGGCTGGCCGGGCAGAGAGGCTCCTCACTTCCCATCAGGGGCTGCCAGGCAGAGGCACCCCTCACTTCCCGGATGGGGCGGCTGGCCGGGTGGGGGGCTAACCCACCCACCTCCCTCCCGGAGGAGGCGGCTGGCCGGGCGGGCGGCTGACCCCCCACCTCCCTTCCGGATGGGGTGGCTGGCCAGGCGGGGGGCTGACCCCCCCACCTCACTCCCGAACGAGGTGGCTGCCGGGCGGAGACGCTCCTCACTTCCGAGACGGGGTGACTGCCGGGCGGAGGGGCTCCTCACTTCTCAGACGGGGTGGTTGCCAGGCAGAGGGTCTCCTCACTTCTCAGACGGGGCGGCCGGGCAGAGACATTCCTCACATCCCGGACGGGGCGGCAGGGCAGAGGTGCTCCCCACATCTCAGATGATGGGCGGCCGGGCAGAGACGCTCCTCACTTCCCAGATGTGATGGCGGCCGGGAAGAGGCGCTCGTCACTTCCTAGATGGGATGGCGGCCGGGCAGAGACGCTCCTCACTTTCCAGACTGGGCAGCCAGGCAGAGGGGCTCCTCACATCCCAGACGATGGGCGGCCAGGTGGAGACGCTCCTCACTTCCCAGACGGGGTGGCGGCCGGGCAGAGGCTGCAATCTCGGCACTTTGGGAGGCCAAGGCAGGCTGCTGGGAGGTGGAGGTTGTAGCGAGCCAAGATCACGCCACTGCACTCCAGCCTGGGCACCATTGAGCACTGAGTGAACGAGTCTCCGTCTGCAATCCCGGCATCTCGGGAGGCCGAGGCTGGCGGATCACTCGCGGTTAGGAGCTCAGCCCGGCCAACACAGCGAAACCCCGTCTCCACCAAAAAAATACGAAAACCAGTCAGGCGTGGCGGCGCGCGCCTGCAATCGCAGGCACTCGGCAGGCTGAGGCAGGAGAATCAGGCAGGGAGGTTGCAGTGAGCCGAGATGGCAGCAGTACCATCCAGCTTCGGCTCGGCATCAGAGGGAGACCGTGGAAAGAGAGGGAGAGAGAGACCGTGGGGAGATGGAGAGGGTGAGGGAGAGGGAGAGGGAGAGGGAGAGCTATCAGTTTTCTTTCTTGTGCATTATTTTCACAGTAATATAAATTATGGACATCAAAATATCCTCAGGGTTAAAAACGTTGGAGTCCAAGCATTCTATATTCTTGATTTGTATGGTTTCACTTATGACTCAGCATTTTAGGAAAACATTGGCTCTATAATCTGTCACCCTCACCCCATTTAAATAAAAACATACTTTTTTGGACACAAGGATCAGGCATACACATCTACACAGTGGATCACATCATTTTTGGGGGCAAACTGAAAACTGTTTTTATACTCAAACATACTGTTGGGAAACTGTGAAATAAAAATTTCTGATGTTTGTTAAAAATTGGGAAGAAAGACATTAATACTATTGTAGTAGATTTTATGGCCATCGTAATAGGGTTCAGTTCAGAAATTGATCATAACTCTGAACACAGACAACGAAGAATTTATAGTCAATAAGCAGAATAAATCAGTGGATAAAAATTATTGAAAAACATTTGATAAAATACCAAAGGAGGAAGAGGAACTTTTTATAGCAGAAGGCTGGTTACAGGTTGGCTAAGGACTTAAATATCAAAGAAAGGGAATCACGATATTAGTAGACATAAGGGATATGTGGATTTTTACTAAACAGTATTAGCAGGATTTATGAAAGTGAGCCTCTCAAACCAGGAGCAGGGCAAGAAGTCAAGGTTGGCTTAGTCAAAAAGAGGGTTCAGTTAAGCTTGACTAACATTTGGTCATAAAGGGAGTGCTTACAAGAACCCAGATTTTTTTCCCATCTGATCTGAAAATAAATAATCACCAAAAAAGGCTTTGTTTGAAAAATGAGTGCCCACTTCACCTGAGAAAACCTCCATCTTCTTCTGTTTACCTTTGAATTTAGTGTAGAAAAAGAGCACTTGTCATCGCCACAGTTTTAATTTTGCTTTCACTCTTAAAAACAGAGAGTCAGGGCTGGGTGTGGTTGTTCATGCCTGTAATCCCAGCATTTTGGGCATGGTGATGCAAGCACACCTGTAATCCCAGCTACTTGAAAGGCTGAGGCAGGAGAATCACTTGAACCCAAGAGTCAGAGGTTTCAGTGAGCCAAAATCACACCACTGCACTCCAGCCTGGTGACAGAGTGAGACTCCATCAAACAAAACAAAACAAAACAAAACAAAACAAAACAAAACACAAAATTAGAAATTTAGTTTTATTCAAACAGCAACTTACAAACACAAAGGTTATAGTTTCTGACCCCTATTCAAGACAATTGGTTGTAACCATAAGTATTGATGGGACTTCAGGGAGATTCCTCAGATGGAGCTGATGCAGCTGTGCAAGCCACTTTGACCTTGCATCTTTCCTACTTCTTAGCCTTTGAAATGGACATGGTTGCTGGTGCAGGCTTGTGCTCCTACAGCCAGCCATATGGGACCATGAGACAGCCTACAGGATAAAAACCATCTACTGAAATATTGTAGCAAAGTGTGCCAAGAGGGTTGACTAGAAGTAGCTATGGTGTGTGGCTTTCATGAAAAGAAACAAAGAGGGAAAATAAATACAGCACCATCAACTGAAACACCCAGATATTTGCAGTGGGACTAATGAAGGAAACAGCTCAACCCATGGGAAAAAGAAGGGCATGGCAACCGCCCACCCGGGAGTAACACAGACCAAAGGGAACCTACCCTGCCCAAGGAAGTGGTGAGCAAATACGTGACCCTGAGAAACCACACTTCTCCCATGGATCTTTGCAACTCTCGGATCAGGAGATTTTCTCGTAAACTTATTCCACCAGGGCCTTTGGTCTGATACACAGAGCTGCGTGTTCCCGGCAGAACAACTGCTCAGACACAAACAGAATCGCAGGAGCTTTACATATTTTGGCTCTGAGATCTCTGGCAAAGGTGACTGCAACTCAGACAAGGTGGGAGGTTGGATCTCCGTAAATGCCCCTAGAAAGGAAGCTGAATCCATGGGCCTGAGCAGCATCAGTGGGCCCCACTTCCATGACGCCTCACAGGATAAGATCAACTGGCTTGGAATTCCATCCAGCCCCCAGCAACAGCATTGCAATTACCTGGGATGGAACAACGTTCCTGGAGGCAGGGGCTGGCTGCTATATTTGCTGTTTGGATGACTCAGCCATTCCAGCCTGGAGGTTTAGGAGAGTTAAAAAAAAAAAAAACTCATGGCAGATGGAAGAAATCCCTTAGCACGGCACATTGGCCCTCCCAAAGTTTGGCCGGACTACTTCTTGAAGTGGGACCCAGATACCTTTTTCATCTCAGAGTGGGGCCTCCTACCAGAGCCTCCAGACAGCCCCTTCCATATTCTCCGGCAGGCAGAGTTTTGATTTATTCCTGGATGCAGTGCACATTGGGAGCAGTGGGTCTTCATATTTGTTGTTTGGAGAACTCAGCCATAACAATCAGTGGGCTTAGGAGAGTCCAAACCATCCCAGGGAAGAAGGAATCCCCCAGCATAGCACAGTGGATCTGCCATAATGTGATCAGATTGCTTCTTTAAGTGGGACCTAATATGCTCTGCATCTCTGGGTGGAACTTCCCAACCAGGGCCTCCAGCAACTCCCACTGATGTTGTCTGGCTGGCAGAGGTTTAAAAACTTCCTGGGCCAGAGTTCCTAGAGAGAGGGGTTGGCCACCATCTTTGCTGTTTCAGCCACTTTGCTGTTTCAGCCTCCAGGCTTTGGAGAGCCCAATCTGATGAAGGGCAGAAATGGTACCCCGCACAGCATGGCTGATCTATGAAAGTGGGGCTAGATGGCTTAAGTGGGTCCCCAATCCTATTCCTCCTAGCTGGGTGAGACCTACCAACTGGGGTTTCCAGTCACCTCCTACAGGTGTGTTCGAGCCCTCAACATGTCTGCACCCGCCCTGGGATGGAGCTCCCAGGGAAGGGAGTGGGCTGCTATCTTTCTTGTTTCACAGCCTTCACTGGTGATACCCCCAGATACTGGAAAATCCGAGGTGACAAGAGAGTGGAGCAGATGCCCAACAAACTACAGCAGCCCCACACAAAATGGCCAAACAGTTAAAAGGAAGAGAAACAAACAAAAATCTCATTCAAAGGCCAGCAACCTCAAAGATTAAAGATAGATAGGCACACAAAGGTGAGAATCACAACAAGAATACTAAAAACTCAAAAATCAGGGTGCTCTCCCTCTCCCAAATGACCACACTACTTCTCCAGCAAGAGTTCAGAATAAGGGTGAGGCTGTGATCCCTGAAATAACAGAAGTAGACCCCAGAATGTGGATAAAAATGAACTTCACTGATCTAAAGGAGCATGCTCTAACTCAATACAAGAAAGCTAAAAATTACAATATAATATTGCAGGAGCTGACAAACAAATTAGCCAGGATAGAGAGGAGCCTAACCAACCCGATAGCACTGTAAAACACAATACAAAAATTTCATAATGCAATCACAAGTATTAATGAGGAAAGAAACTCAGAGCTTGAAGTTTGTATTTCTGAAAGAAGACATGCAGAGAAGAATAGAAAAAAAGAATGAAAGGAATAAACAAAACCTTTGAGAAATATGGGATTATGTAAAGAGACCAAATCTACAACTGATTGGTGTACTTGAAAGAGCTGGGGAGAATGGAACCAATCAGGAAAACATATTTCAGGATATCATCAATGAGAACTTCCCCAACCTTGCTACACTGGCCAACAATTCAGAAAATGGAGAGAAGTTCAGTAAGATACTCCAAGAAAAAATCATACCCAAGACACATAAACGTCAGATTCCCCAAACTTGAAATGGAAGAAAAAAAAAGAAAAAAAAGCTCAGCCGCAGAGAAAAGCCAAGTCACCTACAAAAAGAAGTTGATCAGACTAAGAGCAGAGCTGTCAGTGAGAACCCTACAAGCCAAAAGAGATTGGGGGCCAATATTTAACGTTCTTAAAGAAAATAAACTTTAAGCCAGAATTTTATATCTGGCCAAACTAAGCTTAATCTGGGGAGAAATAACATCCCTTTCAGACAAGCAAATTCCGAGTTAATTCATGAACACCAGACATGCTTTTCAAGAGCTCCTGAAGGAAGCACCAATTTGGAAAGGGAAAATTATTCCCAGCCACCACAAAAACACACTCAAGTACACAGACCATTGACACTATAAATCAACCACATAAACAAGTCTGAAAAATAAAAATAACCAGCTAGCATCAAGATAACAAGATAAAATCTACGCATAACAATACTTACCTTAAATGTAAATGGGATAAATGCCCCAGTTGAAACACACAGGGTGGCAATTGTATAAAAACCAAGACCCATTGGTATGCTCTTCAAGACACCCATCTCACATGCGGGGACACACATAGGCTAAAAATAAAGGGATGGAGGAAATTTCACCAAGCAAGTGGAAAACCTAAAAAAGCAAGGGTTGCAGTCTTACTTTCCAACAAAACAGACTTTAAAGCAACACAGATTAAAAACAACAACAACAACAACAACAAAGAGGGTCATTACATAACGGCAAATAATTCAATTCAACAAGAATTAACTATTCTAAATATATATGCACCCAACACAAGAGTACCCAGATTCATATAACAAGTTTCTAGATATCTTGAAAGAGACTTAGAACACCACACAATAATAGTGACCGACTTTAACATCCCACTGACAGTATTAGAAAGATTATTGAGACAGAAAATTAACAAAGATGTTCAGGACCTGAACTTAGCTCTGGATCAAATGGACATGATATATATTTACAGAACTCTCCACATGAAAACAGCAGAATATACATTCTTCTCATCACTACATGACACTTTCTCTGAAATTGGTCACTTAGCCAGAAGTAAAACACTCTTCAGCAAATGCAAAAGAACTGAAATCATAATAAACAGTGGCTCAGATCACAGCACAATCAAATTAAAACTCACGATGAAATAATTTACTGAAAACCATAAAATTAAATGGAAATTGAATCACCTGCTCCTGAATAACTTTTGGGTAAATAATGAAATTAAGGCAGATATCAAGGAGTTCTTTGAAACCAATGAGAACAAAGACAAAACATACCAGAATCTCTGGGACACAGCTAAGGCAGTATTAAGATGAAAATTTATGGCATTAAATGCCCACATTAAAATGCCAGAAATGTCTCAAGTTACAACTTCACAACAAAAATAACTACAGGAACAAGAGCAAAGAAGTTCTAGAGCTAGCAGAAGACAAGAAATAACCAAAATCAGACCTGAACTGATGGAGATAGGGACAAGAGAAACCATTCAACAGATCAACAAATTCAGGAGCTGTTTCTTTTTCTTTGAAAAAACCAATAATATAAATACACCAGTAGTAGACTAATAAGGAAGAAAATATCAAAAATTAAAATGAACACAATCAGAAATAATAAGGGTTACCACTGACCCCACAGAAATAAAAATAACCATCAGAAAATATCATAAACACCTCTATGCCTATAAGATAACAAATTCAGTAGAAATGGATAAATTTCTGGACACATACACCCTTCAAGAATAAACCAGGAAGAAATTGAATCCCTGAAAAGACAAACAACAGGCTCTGAAATTCAGGCAGTAATAAATAGCCTACAAACCACAAAAAGATCAGAAACACAAAGATTAAAAGCTGAAGGTTATGACATTTATGAAGAAGAACTGGTACAATTCCCACTAAAATTATTTCAAAAAACTGAAACAGAGGGCTTCCTTCCCGACTCTTTCTATGAGAGCACATCATCCTGGTACCAAAACCTGGCAGACACACAAGAAAAAAAACAAAACTTCAAAAAATTTGCAAGAAGAAAACAACCCCATCAAAAAGTGGGCGAAGGACATGAACAGACGCTTCTCAAAAGAAGACATTTATGCACCCAAAAAACACATGAAAAAATGCTCACCATCACTGGCCATCAGAGAAATGCAAATCAAAACCACAATGAGATACCATCTCACACCAGTTAGAATGGCAATCATTAAAAAGTCAGGAAACAACAGGTGCTGGAGGAGATGTGGAGAAATAGGAACACTTTTACACTGTTGGTGGGACTGTAAACTAGTTCAACCATTGTGGAAGTCAGTGTGGCAATTCGTCAGGGATCTAGAACTAGAAATACCATTTGACCCAGCCATCCCATTTCTGGGTATATACACAAAGGACTATAAATCATGCTGCTTTAAAGACACAGGCACACGTTTGTTTATTGCGGCACTATTCACAATAGCAAAGACTTGGAACCAACCCAAATGTCCAACAATGATAGACTGGATTAAGAAAATGTGGCACATATACACCATGGAATACTATGCAGCCATAAAAAATGATGAGTTCATGTCCTTTGTAGGGACACGGATTAAATTGGAAATCATCATTCTCAGTAAACTATCACAAGAACAAAAAAACCAAACACCGCATGTTCTCACTCATAGGTGGGAATTGAACAATGAGATCACATGGACACAGGAAGGGGAACATCACACTCTGGGGACTGTTGTGATGAGGGGGGAGGGGAGAAGGATAGCATTGGGAGATATACCTAATGCTAAATGTCGAGTTAATGGGTGCAGCACACAAGCATGGTGCATGCGTACATATGTAACTAACCTGCACATTGTGCACATGTACCCTAAAACTTAAAGTATAATAATAATAAAATAAAAAAAGAAAAAAAAAAACTTCATGCCAATATTTTTGATGAACATTTATGCAAACATTCTTAACAAAATAGGGGCAAACCAAATCCAGCAGCGCATCAGAAAGCTTATCCACCACAATCAAGTAGGCTCCATCTGTGGGATGCAACTTTAATTCAACGTACACAAATCAATATGTGATTTATCACATAAACAGAACTAAAGACAAAAGCCACATGATTGTCTGAATAGATGCAGATAAATCTTTGCATCCATAAAATTCAACATCCATTCTTGTAAAAACTCTCAATAAACTAGGTATTGAAAAAAACATACTTCAATATAATAAGAACCATGTATGACAAACCCACAGCCAATATCATACTGAAAGGGCAAAAGCTGAAAGCATTCCCTTTTAAAACGGGCACAAGACAAGGATGCCCTCTCTCATGAATCCTATTTCAGATAGTATTGGAAGTACTGGGCAGAGCAATCAGGTAAGAGAAAAAGGCATTCAAATTGAAAGAAAAGAAATTAAACAACACCTGATGTCAGACGACATGATTCTATATCTTGAAAACCCCTATTGTCTCAACCCCAAAGCTTCTTAAGCTGATAAATATCTTTAACAAAGTCCCAAGATACAAAATAAATGGGCCAAAATCACTAGCACTAAATCCTTATATACCAACAACAGTCAAGCCAAGAGCAAAATCGTGAATGAACACTCATTCACAGTTACCACAAAAAGAATAAAATACCAAGGAATGTATCTAACAAGAGAAGTGAAAGGCCACTACAAGGAGAACTATAAACCACTTCTCAAAGAAATCAGACATGACATAAACAAATAGAAAAACATTTCATGCTTATGGATAGAAAGAGTTAATATTGTTAAAGTAGACACACTCCACAAAGAAATTTATAGAGTTAATAGTATTTCCGTTAAACTACCAATGACATTTTTCACAAAACTAGAAAAGCTATTTTAAAATTTATATGGAACCAACAAAGGCCTGAATAGTCAAGACAACCCCAAACAAAAAGAACTAAGCTGGAGGCATCACACTACCCAACTTCAAACTGTGCTACAGGGCTACAGAAACCAAAACAGCATGGTACTGGTACAAGAACAGACACACAGACCAATGAAACAGAATAGAGGACCCAGAAATAAGACTGCACACCTACAACTAACTGATCTTCGACAAACCTGACAAAAACAAGCAATGAAAAAACGACTCTGTACTCAATAAATGGTGCTGGGATAACTGCCTAGCCATGTGCAAAAAATTGAAACTGAACCCCTTCCTCCATCATCCTCTGCAACTAACACAGGAACAGAAAACTAACCACCGCATATTCTCACTCATAAGTGGGAGTTGAACAATAAGAACACATGGACACTGGAAGGGAAACAACACAACTGGGGCTAGTCAGGGAATGGGAGTCGAAGGGAGGGAGAGCATTAGGATAACTAGCTAATACATGTGGGACTTGAAGCCTGGATAACGGGCTGATAGGTGCAGTAAACCACCATGGCACACATATACCAATGTAACAAACCTACACATTCTGCACTTGTACTTCAGAACCCAATTTAAATTTAAAAAATAAAGAAAGATTCCTTACATCATATACAACAATAAACTCAACATGGTTTAAATGTAAAACCCAAGACTATAAAAACTTTGGAAGACAACCTAGGCAATACCATTCAGGACATAGGCATGGGCAAATATTTTATGATGAAGGCGCAAAAGCAATTAGAACAAAGAGAACATTGACAAATGGGATCTAATTAAACTAAAGAGCTTTTGCACAGCAAAAGAAACTATCAACAGAGTAAACAGACAATGTATAGAATGGGAGAAAATTTTTGCAAACTGTGCATCTGACAATAATCTAATTTCTAGCATCCATAAGGAACATAAATTTACACGAGAAAAACAAACAACCTTATTAAAAATTGGCCAAAGGACACACAGAAACACTTCTTGAAAGAAGACATACATGCAGCCAATAAGCGTATGAAACAGAAGTTCAACATCAGTGACCATTAGAGAAATGTAAATCCAAACCACAATGAGATATCATTTTATACCAGGTATAATGGTTACCATGAAAAAATCAAAAAATCACAGATGCTGACAAAGTTGTGGAGAAAAAGCAACATTTTTACCCTGTTGGTCGAGTTCAAACGTTGTGGAAGACAGTGTGGTGATTCTTCAAAGACCTAAAGAAAAGAATACCATTTGACCTAGCAATCTCATTACTGGGTATATACCCAAACAAATATAAGTCATTCTATTATAAAGATACCTGCACGCACAAGTTCATCACAGCCCTATTCACAATAGCAAAGACATCAAATCAGCCTACATGTTCATCAATAATAGACTGGTTGAAGAAAACGTAGTTCATATACAACATGGAGTACTATGCAGCCATAAAAAAGCACAAGATTATGTCCTTTGTAGGGACATGGATGGAGCTGGAGGCCATTATCCTTAAAAAACTAACAGAAACAGAAAACCAAATACCACATTTTCTCACTTATAAGTGGAGGGTAGATGATGAGAACACACAGAAACATGGAGGGGAGCAACACGCACCAGGGCCTATCAGGAGGTAGGGGGTGAGAGGAGGGAGAGAATCAGAAAAAATAACTAATAGTTAGTAGACTTAATACCTGGGTGATAAAACAATCTGCACAACCAAACTTCGGGACGGTATGTTTCCATATTTAAAGAACCTGCACATCCTGCCCATATACCCCTGAACTTAAAACAAAGTTCAAAAAAGAAAAACATTTTAGCAAAATGACAGACTATTTTTGACTACCTTCGTGTACAGTTCAGAGTCAGACTGCCCAGCTCTAACATCCTTATTTATGAGAAAGAAAGCATTCTCTCTCTTATCTGCACTATTATATTGGGTTTTCTTTTTTAATTTTTTTGAGACGGAGTTTCACTCTTATTGCCCAGACTGGAGTGCAATGGCGCGATCTCGGTTCACCACAATCTCTACCTCCCGGGTTCAAGCGATTCTCCTGCCTCAGCCTCTCAAGAAGCAGGGATTACAGGCATGCACCACTACGCCTGGAAAATTTTGTATTTTTGGTAGAGACTGGGTTTCTCTATGTTGGTCAGGCTGGTCTTAAACTCCAGACCTCTGGTGATCCGTCTGCCTCAACCTCCCAATGTGTTGGGATAACAGGCGTGAACTACAGCACCCGGTCTGGGTTTTCTTCTATATGTAGGAAAATGTAATCCTAACTAAAGTGCTAGCTTTGCCATGGAATCTCTGTGTAATTCTGGATGTTATGTCACTTTCCTAAGACTTTTTTCTATCTGCATAGTGGTGGAGGCAGTAGTGGGGAAGATTTAATTATACAAAGGGTCCATCAATCCATGTGTTAAGTGAGGATGTCACTACTTTCCAGACTCAGAGGACAGGGGACATATTGTTATGCTCCATGGAAGCTGTTTGGGGGTGGAGGTGGGGCTCACTTGCACACATTGTCTGTGGGCCTTGAAAGATCAAGTGTGTATGACCCTTCTTGAACAGAAGGTCCATGTGCCCAGTGCAGAACCCATCTATTTCTTCCCAAGTGAGGAAGATCTGGGAACACCCTGATCACAGCCTTGCTACACCAATCCTAGTTGGTAGGGACGTTAGACCATATGCATGTTGAGCTGTGGCTTAAGCATTTTGACATCTCACATCTCATTGGATATCTGAAAAACTGAGGTCTGGAGAGAAGCAGGGACTGGCCCAGAGATGATGAAGTGGGCAGAGTCCAAGGGAAAAAAGAGCATTCTGACCTCCTAGGCCAGGGCTCAACACTCTCATGGGGTTTGTTTTGGGAATGAGTCCCTGAGATCCTGGGGATTTTTGCCAATTTTCTCGTCATATGAAGCAAACTCATGTCTGCATCATAGAATTCCACAGGTTTGTGCATACACACACAGACTTCTCAGGCTAAAGGTCATAAGAGGAGTTAACGCTGATGGAGTGATGAGAAGAAAAAAGATAGAGGATAGGGGCAGCTTTGTCATGGGGTAGAAGCACCCCATCTTCTGGTAACATGCCCAGGACCCATAACATGGGCAGGGGAAGGCAATAGGCTGATGGCTTGAGAGGCTCAAGGCTTCCATGGATCTGACTGGGCTGCAGCCAACACCAGGATAGCTTTCCAAGGACAAAACCTTACTTTCTCCATTCATTAATCTGCATAATTAAAATGGTAAGGAATCCCCCTACACCCAATATGGAGAGGAATACAGTAGTGAAAACCTTCAATTTTTCCCTGTACAAATTGACATAATTGAACTGTGTGACCCCTAAATTTGAAAGGCTTAAAGAAGTGAGTTGACCTTGCTGTCTATCAATTACCACTGTACTCTCAGAACTTTGGAAATTGCTCTGTGTCCTCCGAAGGTCTTTCAGAGCAGAAAGTGGCCTAGGGGTGTGCGGGACTGAGCACTCAGGCTGGTGTAGAATGTGACAGATCCTCAGACCACTGCTCTGGGATCCAAGGAGAAGACCTTCTCGGTCAGAGCTTTGGGGATCTTTTTTTTGGAGGGGGCGATCTTTTTTGAAAGTGGAGACAGAATCGTTTTCCAGGGCTCCCTCATTTGCCCTCCTGTTTCATAGTATTTCTTTTTTCTGTCTTTCTTTCTTTCTTTCTTTCTTTCTTTCTTTCTTCTTTCTTTCTTTCTTCTTTCTTTTTCTTTCTTTCTTCTTTCTTTCTTTCCTTCTTTTTCTTTCTCTTTCTTTCTTTCTCCTTCGTTTCTTTTCTTTCTTCCTTTCTTTCTTCTTTCTCTTTCTTTTGTTCTTCCTTCATTCCTTCCTTCCGTTTCTTTCTTTCTTCTTTCTTTCTTTCCTCTTCCTTCATTCCTTCCTTCCTTTTCTTTCTTTCTTTCTTTCTTTCTCTTTCTTTCTCCTTCCTTCCTCCCTCCCTTTCTTTTCTTTCTTTCCTTATTTTCTTTTTTCTTTCTTCTTTCTTTCTTTCTTCTTTCTTTCTTTCTTTCTTTCTTTCTTTCTTTCTTTATCAGAGTCTCTCTCTTCTCGCTCTTTCACGGGACTGGAGTGGAGTGGCATGATCTCGGCTCACTGCAACCTCCACCTCCCGGGTTCAAGTGATTCACTGCAACCTCCACCTCCCAGGTTCAAGTGATTCTCCTGCCTCAGCCTCCTGAGTAGCTGGGAATATAAGGGCGTGCCACCAAGCCTGGCTAATTTTTGTATTATTAGTAGAGACGGGGTTTCGCCATGTTGTCCAGGATGGTCTCGATCTCTTCACCTCGTGATCTGCTTGTATCAGCCTCTGAAAAAAACTGAGATTATAGGTGTGAGCCACCACACAAAGCCTACAGTTTATTTTTCTTTGCTTGTTAAAATGTTTTAGTCAGCTAAAATTTACACAATATAGAGTTCTACATACTATCTAATATAAAGTGTAAAATTCAGTGCTTTTCAGTTTATTTACAATGCTATGCAACTGTCACCCTTATCAAATTCCAAAATAGTTTCATCACCCTCTCACCAAAAAAACTCCATATCCATTAAGCAGTAATTTATCATTCATCCACCGAATTTCCTTGGTAACCACTGATTGACTTTCTATCTCTAGTACTCTCTTTCTTTCTTTCCTTTTTTTTTTTTTTTTTTGGTGTCTCACTCTGTCACCCATGCTAGAGTGCAGTGGCACGATCTCGGCTCGCTGCAAGCTCCACCTCCCTGGTTCACGCCATTCTCCTGCCTCAGCCTCCAGGGTAGCTGGGACTACAGATGCCTGTCAGCACGCCCAGCTATTTTTCTTTGTATTTTTAGTAGAGACAGGGTTTCACCATGTTAGCCAGCATGGTCTCGATCTCCTGACGTCGTGATCTGCCTGCTTCGGCCACCCAAAGTGCTGGGATTACAGGCGTGAGCCATCACACCCGGCTTCTATTTCTAGTTTTCTATTCTAGTCACTTTATAGAAATATAATAATATAATATGTGACCTTTTTTCTTTGGCTTTTCTCTTTGAGCGTGTTTTCATTATTTATCCATGTTGTGGCACATATCAGTTCTGTATTTATTTTTATGGCTAGCTAATACTCCATTGTATAAATAATATTCTATTGGCCAGGGACGATGGCTCACACCTATAAACTCAGTATTTTGGGAGGCTGAGGCTGGTGGATCACCTGAGGTCAGGAGTTCTAGACCAGCCTGGCTGACATGGTGAAACACTGTGTCTACTAAAAATACAAAAATTAGCCGGGCGTGGTTCCTGAAAGCCCAATTGCTCAGGAGGCTGAGGCCAGGGAATCTCTTGAACCCAGGAGGTGGAGGTTACAGTGAGCTGAGATCGTGCCACTGCACTCCAGCATGGGTGACAGAGCAAGACTGTCTCAAAAAAAAAGAAAGAAAATGAGAGGAAATATGTGCAAACTACACAGCTGACAAGCGATTGATAAGCAGAATACAGAATAAACAAAAAACTAAATAAAAAATTAGTTTAACTTTAAAATGGGCAATAATCTTCAGAAACATTTCTGGAAAATGTAAGGGGCATAAACATAGAACCTAAAAGTTAGAGAAGAATTATGAAAAAACTGAAGGATATAGAAAAAATAATTTCAGACTATTCACATTAAAATTTAATTAGAGAGGGGGTGGAGCCAAGATGGGCGAATAGGAAAAGCCTTAGTCTAGAACTCCCAGCATCGGCAATGCAGAACACAGGTGATTTCTGCATTTCCAACTGAGGTACCGGGCTCATCTCACTGGGGAGTGTCAGAAAGTGGGTGCAGGACAGTGGGTGCAGCGCACCCCATGTGAGCCAAAGCATGGTGAGGCATCGCCTCACCCAGGAAGTGCAAGGGGTCAGGGAATACCCTTTCCTAGTCAAAGAAAGGGGTGACAGATTGCACCTGGAAAATCGGGTGACTCCCACCCTAACACTGTACTGTTCCAAAGGTCTTAGCAAACGGCATACCAGGAGATTATATCCTGCACCTGGCTCAGAGGGTCCTACGCCCACAGAGCCACAATCATTGCTAGCACAGCAGTCTGAGATCAAACTGCAAGGCAACAACAAGCCTGGGGGAGGGGCGCCCACCATTGCCGTGGCTTGAGTAGGTAAACAAAGCAGCCAGGAAGCTCCAACTGGGTGGAGCCAACTGCATCTCAAGGAGGCCTGCCTGACTCTGTAGACTCCACCTCTGGGGGCAGGGAATAGCCAAACAAATGGCAGCAGAATCCTCTGCAGACTTAAATGTCCCTGTCTGACAGCTTTGAAGAGAGTAGTGGTTATCCCAGCATGCAACTGGAGATCTGAGAACAGACAGACTGCCTCCTCAAGTGGGTCCCTGACCCCCGAGTAGCCTATCTGGGAAGCATCCCCAGTAGGGGCAGACTGACACCTCACACGGCCGGGTACTCCTCTGAGACAAAATTTCCAGAGGAACAATCAGGCAGCAATATTTGCTTTTCACCAATATCCGCTGTTCTGCAGCCTCCACTGCTGATACCCAGGCAAACAGGGTCTGGAGTGGACCTCCAGCAAACTCCAACAGACCTGCAGCTGAGGGTTCTGACTGTTAGAAGGAAAACTAACAAACAGAAAGTACATCCACAACAAAATCCCATCTGTACATCACAATCATCAAAGACCAAAGGAGAGAAAACTACAAAGATGGGGAAAAAACAGAGCAGAAAAACGGAAAATTCTAAAAATCAGAGTATCTCTCCACCTCCAAAGGAACACAGCTCCTCACCAGCAATGGAACAAAGCTGGACAGAGAATGACTTTGACGAATTGAGAGAAGAAGGCTTCAGACGATCAAACTACTCCGAGCTAAAGGAGGAAGTTCAAACCCATGGCAAAGAAGTGAAAAACCTTTAAAAAAATTAGATGAATAGCTAACTAGAATAACCAATGCAGAGAAGTTCGTAAAGGACCTGATGGAGCTGAAAACCAATGTACGAGAAGTACGTGATGAATGCACAAGCCTCAGTAGCCAATTCGATGAACTGGAAGAAAGGGTGTCAGTGATGGAAGATCAAATGAATGAAATGAAGTGAGAAAAGAAGTTTAGAGAGAAAAAGATAAAAAGAAATGAACAAAACCTCCAAGAAATATGGGACTGTGTGAAAAGACCAAATCTACATCTGATTGGTGTACCTGAAAGTTATGAGGAGAATGGAAACAAGTTGGAAAACACTCTGAAGGATATTATCCATGAGAACTTCCCCAATCTAGCAAGGGAGGGTGACATTCAAATTCAGGAAATACAGAGAACACCAAAAAGATAATCCTCAAGAAGAGCAACTCCAAGACACATAATTGTCAGATTCACCAAAGTTGAAATGAAGGAAAAAATGTTAAGGGCAGCCAGAGAGAAAGGTCGGGTTACCCACAAAGGGAAGCCCATCAGACTAACAGCTGATCTCTCGGCAGAAACTCTACAAGCCAGAAGAGTGGGGAACAATATTCAACATTCTTAAAGAAAAGAATTTTCAATCCAGAATTTCATATTCATTCAAACTAAGCTTCATAAGTGAAGGAGAAATAAAATCCTTTACATACAAGCAAACGATGAGAGATTTTGTCACCACCAGGCCTGCCCTAAAAGAGCTCCTGAAGGAAGCACTAAACATGGAAAGGAACAACCGGTACCAGCCACTGCAAAAACATGCCAAGTTGTAAAGACCATCGAGGCTAGGAAGAAACTGCATCAACTAACGAGCAAAATAACCAGCTAACATCATAATGACAGGATCAAATGCACACAAAACAATATTAACCTTAAAAGTAAATGGACTAAATTCTCCCATTAAAAGACACAGACTGGCAAATTGGATAAAGAGTCAAGACCCATCAGTGTTCTGTATTCAGGAAACGCATCTCACGTGCAGAGACACACATAGGCTCAAAATAAAGGGATGGAGGAAGATCTACCAAGCAAATGGAAAACAGAAAAAGGCAGGGGTTACAATCCTAGTGTCTGATAAAACAGACTTTAAAACAATAAAGATCAAAAGAGACAAAGAAGTCCATTACGTAATGATAAAGGGATCAATGCAATAAGAAGAGCTAATTATCCTGAATATATATGCACCCAATATAGGAGCACACAGATTCATAAAGCAAGTCCTTAGAGACCTAGAAAGAGACTTAGACTCCCACACAATAGTAATGGGAGATTTTAACACCCCACTGTCAACATTAGACATATCAATGAGACAGATAGTTAACAAGGATATCCAGGAATTGAACTCAGCTCTGCACCAAGCAGACCTAATAGACATCTACAGAACTGTCCACCCCAAATCAACAGAATATACATTCTTCTCAGCACCGCACCGCACTTATTCCAAAATTGACCACATAGTTGGAAGTAAAGCACTCCTCAGCAAATTGTAAAAGAACAGAAATTATAAAAACCTCTCTCTCAGACCACACTGCAATAAAACTAGAACTCAGGATTAAGAAACTCACTCAAAACCGCTCAACTACATGGAAACCAAACAACCTGCTCCCGAATGACTACTGGGTACATAACGAAACGAAGGCAGAAATAAAGATGTTCTTTGAAAGCAACGAGAACAAAGACACAACATACCAGAATCTATGGGACACATTCAAAGCAGCGTGTAGAGGGAAATTTATAGCACTAAAGGCCCACAAGAGAAAGCAGAGAAGATCTAAAATTGACACCCTATCATCACAATTAAAAGAACTAGAGAAGCAAGAGCAAACACATTCAAAAGCTAGCAGAAGGCAAGAAATAACTAAGATCAGAGCAGAATTGAAAGAAATAGAAACATAAAAAACCCTTCAAAAAATCAGTGAATTCAGGAGCTGGTTTTTGAAACGATCAACAAAATTGATAGACTGCTAGCAAGACTAGTAAAGAAGAAAAGAGAGAAGAATCAAATAGACGCAATAAAAACTGATCATTTATGTGGCTCAAGTTCTCTAATATAACATAGTACGGTCAAAATGGAAGGGTAAAAATTGCAAGACCACCTTAACGTTTGTCATCTTAAGTGTACTATAAAAATGCCTTTTAAATTAATTCAGTGAATAGGTTTTTAAGTGCATGTTTTAGATTATGCTGAACTGTCAAATACCAGCACATCCCTAATTTGCAGTAGATTAACAGCACTTTTTAGCACACATCACAGAGTTGTTCGGTGGCCAAATTGAAAAGGCACCTCCTCTCCATGTGGTCATTCAGAAACTCAAAGTTCTTTCATTATTTGTCTTCATCATCCATGAGTCGTGGTTGCCGTTTGTGTTCAGTCCCCTGAAAATAAAGTACTTTAAGAAATGCATGCGAGAAGACTTGATGGACTCATCTTAATGTGACTCACATCCATCTCACTCTACAACCATTAACAATAACTGGTCACGTTTCCACATCTCATGCAAATGAGGCTAAGAAATGTAATTCTGCTGTGTCCCTAATAAATGGGAGAATAGAATTTGTTGAATGACCAGAGTTTTCCGTAACATTGTGTCACTCATATGGATTTACTGTGTTTCTCAAATATTTATTAAACATCTGTCATAGCCAAGCACTGTGATAAGGAGTACAGGGAGGACAGAGAGCTGACTCAGCAGAGTCCTAGTCTGAAAGAAACTCACAATCTAAGAAAATAAGAAAAGTCATGTTAGGTGCTGCTATAAAGGCACATGCACACGTATGTTTATTGTGGCACTACTCACAATGCAAATACTTGGAACCAACCGAAATGTCCAACAATGATAGACTGGATCAAGCAAATGTGGCCCATATACACCATGGAATGCTATGCAGCCATAAAAAATGATGAGTTCATGTCCTTTGTGTGTACATGGATGAAGCTGGAAAAGATAATTCTCAGCAAACTATCACAAGGACAAAAAAAAACAAACACCACATGTTCTCGCTTATAGGTGGGAATTGAACAATGAGAACACTTGGACACAGGAAGGGTAACATTACCCACTGGGGAATGTTGTTGGGGGGGGAGGGGGGAGGGATAGCATTTGGAGATATACCTAATGTAAATGACGAGTTAATGGGTGCAGCTCACCAACATGGCACATGTATACATAAGTAACAAACCTGCACGTTGTGCACATGTACCCTAGAACTTAAAGTATAATAAATATATGTATAACATACGTATATATTATATACATGTTCAAGGGATTCTCCTGCCTCAGCCTCCCAAGTAGCTGGGATTACAAGCGCTGCCATTACTCCCAGCTATTTTTTGTATTTTTAGTAGAGAAGGAGTTTTGCCATGTTGACCAGGACGGTCTGGATCTCCTGACCTCATGATCCACACCCCTTGGCCTCCCAGAGTGCTGGGATTACAGGTGTGAGCCACAGCCCCCGGCCTATATGAGTTTTCAAATAGTTTTTTCTAGCTCCGTAAAAAATTTCATTGGCAGTTTGATGGAAATAGTATTAAATCTGTAAATTTCTTTGTGAAGTATAGCCATTTTAGTGATATTGCATCTTCCTATCCGTGAGCATGGGATGGTTTTCCATTTGTTTGTATCTTCTCTGATTTCTTTGAGCAGTGTTTTGTAAATCTCATTGTAGAGCTCTTTCACCTCCCTGGTGAGCTGCATTTCCAGATATTTTATTATTTTAGTGGCAATTGTGAATGGGATGGCCTTTCTGATTTTGCTGTCAGTGTGGCTATCGTTGGTGTAGAAAAATGTTAGTGATCTTTGCACATTGATTTAGTATCTTGAAACTTTGCTGAAGCTGTTTGTTAACTAAAGAAGCTTTGTAGATGAAACTACAGGGTTTTCTAGATAGAGAATTATGTTATCTGCAAACAGAAATAGTTTGGCTTTCTCTCTTCCTATTTGGATGTTCTTCGGATTTCTTTCTCTAGCCTGATTGCTCTGGTCAGTACTGTCAATACTAAGTTGAATAGAAATGGCAAGAGAGGGCATTCTTGCCTTCTACTGGTTTTAAAAAATAATGTTCCCGGCTTTTGCCCATTCAACACATTGTTGGCTGTGGGTTTCTTATAGACGGCTTTTATTATTTTCTGCGTCTATTGAGATAATCATCTTTTTTTTGTTTTTAGTTCTGTTTATGTAATGTATTACATTTATTGATTTGCACATGATGGACCAACCTTGCGTCCTAAGGAGGAAGCCTACTTGATCATGACGGATTACCTGTTTGATGTGCTGCTGGATTTGCCTCCCAAATATTTTGTTGAGAACTTTTGTATTGATGTTCGTCAAGAATGTTGGCCTGAAGTTTTCTTTCCCTTCTTTCTTTTTTTTTTTTTTTTTGACGGTGTCTCCCTCTGTTGCCCAGGCTGGAGTGGATTGCACTGGCGCGATCTCTGCTTAATGCAATCTCTGCCTCCTGAGTTCACGCCATTCTCCTGCTTCAGCCTCCCAAGTAGCTGGGACTACAGGTGTCTGCTACCAAGCCCGGCTAATTTTTTGTGTTTTTGTTGTGTCTCTGCCTGTTTTGGTGTCAAGATCATGCTGTCCTCATAGAATGAGTTGGGGAGAAGACCCTCCTTCTCAATTTTTGGGTATAGTTTCTGTAGGAATTGTACCAGCTCTTCTTTGTACATTTGGTAGAATTTGGCTGTAAGTCCATAAAGTCCAGAGCTTTTTTTTTTGATTGGCAAGCTACTTATTACCTATTTAATATCAGAGTTTTTTACTGGTCTGTTCAGGAAATCATTGTCTTCCTGGCTTAATCTTGAGAGAGTGTGTATATCTAGGAATCTATTTATTTCGTTAAAGTTTTCTAGTTTGTGTGTATAAAGTTGTTCATGTTAGTGCTGTCCCCAGTTAAATAAAAACAACTATTAGAAACCACTAAAGTTTAACACTTGTTTTTATATCTTTAATCAATTTTTATTTAATTTTTCTACTTGGAATGTGATAAAGATTCAACTTTACTGGTTTAAATGTGGACTTGTTTTCCCAGCATTTCTTGTGTAACAAACTGTCTTTACATAATGATTAAGACACACTTTTAAAAAGACAAACAATAATTTATGAAAGGGTTTTTTGGAGTATCTATTTTATTTATTTGATCTCCACAATTGTTCTTATGCCACTATCAAACTGTTATAATTTTAGTAGCTTTTTATGTTTTCAAATTTAAAATTGTGAGCCACCTAATTTTGTCCTTCTTTTCAAGATTATTCTGTACATTCAGAGGATGTTCAAATTCCATATGAAGTTTTAAATGAGCTATTTTCTTTTTGCAGAAGAAAAGTTGGAAAAATGAAAACTTGGGATTACAGTACATCTGTACACTCCTTTGGGCAGTGGTATTGTCATCTTAACTTCATTAAATCTTCCGGTTCAGGAACATGGAATTTGTTGCCAGTTATTTAAGTCCTTTTTAGTTTTTTTCATAAACATTCTGATCCTGTATTTTTTATTGTACAAGATATTTACCTCCTTATTAAATTTATTGCTAAGAATTATATTATTTTAATGTTGTTGCGAACAATTGTTTTCTTAATTTACTGTCAAATTGTTAATTGTATATGGAAATGCAGTTTATGTTTCTGTGTTGTAAAAATAATTATTTCATGTCTCAAATCTAGATTAGCAATTCATTCAGAATAAATATGCTGTATATATTACTAGTCATTTAACTTTTTCCAATAAGCTAACCAATTTCAATATGTCTAAATATGTAAAAATGTTAAATTGTGTTAGATTTTTCACTTACTCTCACCTGTCATTTATCTGTCAGAATTACATTACTGCGCACTAGAACTTTCATTTCTGGGGCCGGGCACGGAGGCTCATGCCTATATTCCTAGCACTTTGTGAGGCCAAGGCAGGCGGACCACCTGAGATCAGGAGTTCGAGACCTGTCTGGCCAATATGGTAAAACCCCGCCTCTACTAAAAATACAAAAATAAGCTGAGCGTGGTCTTGGGAGACTGTATTCCCAGCTACTTTGGAGGCTGACACTGGAGAATCACTTGAACAATCCCACGACACAAAACAACCGAGGTTAGTCTTCATGTCGAAAGTCTTCAATGGATTGTCTTTTATCACAGGATTGCTTAGTGCAACATTTAATGGGAAAGATGCATGCTACTGAGATGTAGTTCTCCACAAGTCTCTTAGAGTTTGTTGTTTTGTTGTGGATTACATCACATACCTGTCCTGTTCCACGTTATTTTTCAAAGATTTTTGTACACAAATAACCTGGAAAAAGGGTAGTAGTTTTTCTCTTCAGGTGAATGGCAGATAAATTACTCAATCAATATAATAAAGACAATTTTTCTTTGTGACGCAAAGGTTGGACAGGCTTCCATGTAACCTACTTTAAAAAGATTGAGGTTTCTTAGTCTTGAGTCTGCTCAGCTATGACACAAATCTTCCCCATGTACAATGTCCATATGAGCCTTTTGAAATCCTTCAAAAAACGTAGTATGGACAAGGAGAACTAATACAAATATGAGGCTTTTGCCTCCAGGTAAGCAGTAAATAGTAGGTATTTTTTTTCATACTTCAGTGTCTCATGCCTTCTACCAGCATCGATGAAAATGGAAGGTTAATATGTTGTTTACAAATGCTATAAAATCTTAGATACGTCACAATTATTTAATTTTGGAGATGACTATGGCATGCTGAGATAAACACAACTTTCTGAAAGGGGAAAAGGAACAAATACTTGAAGAGCTTGCAAGGGATATGAGAAGTTCCCCCAGGACCAACAGCAAATTCTCTCGGCCAAGTGGTTAGTTTGGTGAAGCAAGAGATCAAGACTCTGCTGTCTGCTAATGAGACTGATCCTTGAGAGGATTATAACAATGAACCTGAGAGCTTTGCATGTTCACTTTTCTCCTGCTGGAAAATCAAGGAGCTCTTAAAGCTAATGTTGAGGTTTGGATGAGTCCAAAACAGTAGAAGTTCATGTGGTTCAGCTGTGAGCAGCAAAAAGACTGCAAAAAGCCACATTAAGCAGGTTTTGTAAGTCTCTCCTTTACCCACATGAAGGAACCCATTCCCTCTGCACTTCTAATTTTTGTCCTTTGTCTACAGCTAACTTCAGCAACTTTAAATATTAAACTACATACGATTGGAGGTTTGGATGGGGGAACACAAATGTATGTAGTTCCTTTGGATATATGTATCTAATTCACCATTCTGTGGAGTCCCTTAGGGTGCACAGGGAGATATAGGTGTTAGGGTGGCTGGAAATGCTGACAAACCTATCATTCTATTAATCCAGTTGCTTCCAGATAATGGAAAGCATGGTAAGTCCACTGACATCCGTGAAGATGAGCACACTGCTACACTTTGGCTGTGAAGTGAGTTTCTTGGTCTGAGCAATGCTAAGTGGAATATCATAGGGATGGATGAGGGATTCTGTGAGTCCATGGAGGGTAGTTTTGGCAGAATTCCACCCAGGGAAAGCAAATTTGTATCCATAGTAAGAGCCTACTCCAGTGAGTACAAACTGTTGCCGCCTATATTATAAAAGTTATTCAACGTAATAAATTTACTACCAGGTGCCTGGTGGATCACCCTGGAAATGATGTCATATCAAAGACTCAGTGTAGATCTGTGCTGCTGTCAAATTAAACATTCAGAATTGACTGTAGCCAGACTGGCCTTTGGGATTCAAAGTTCATATTGCTTAGCCCGTGCATTGCTTCTATTTCTGCTACTATGTTCACCTTGTTTATAAGCCCATTGGGTGATGATGGGGGTGACAGGGAAGTAAGAATGACCCATACTCACGGAACAAGACATTCTGTCCACATCATTATCAAAATCATGCTCTGATACGGTTACCCCTTAGTAGGGATTCATATAGAACAGACATATCTTTATGTAATTTACCCAGTGAGAGAAGTTTATCCACAAAAGTTTTTCTATTTTTTTTTTTTGCCAGGAATTTTGTAATCATGTTCCTTCCGTGTCATTGGTCATGTAGCCAATTCATGGGCCACAGCAGTGTTGCAGGAGTGAGTATCATAGGATCTCAAACTCCTGTTCTTAAGCAATCCTTGCCTCAACCTCTTAAGTAGCTGAGACTATAGGTGCACCCCACAACGCCTAACTAATTTTGTTTTATTTTTAGTAGAGATTAGATTTTGCTATGTTTTCCAGGCTGTTCTCACACTCCCCACCTCAAGCGATTCTCCCAGCTTTGCCTGCAAAGTGCTTTGACTAGAGTCAAACCTCCACACCCAGCACCTATAATTTGATATTTTAAACAATACTATGTAGCGAAAGCAATTACGAAGTTATCTAGGGAAAGAAAGCTCACTATCACAGTGTAAAATTGTATAGATATGATGCGGGCATGTGTGTATACATGCTTGCTTGTGTGCATAGGTGCGTGTTTTCTGAGAAATGGTACCTTATTGCTACCAGGCTAGGATAGCATTCATGTTCTTCTGAAGATGTCAAATATTGAAGCTCCAGGATTCATAGAACAAGATTCCTAAGTGGTTCACGAGAGGGTGAACGATTGAGTAATGGGTATTTTGGAAGAAACAACTGGCCTAGGGACAAGAATAAGTGTGCAAATCATCTGTGTGAAACACGCTTTCTTCGGAGCACGCATTTCATGCACTTCATTCTACTGTGACAGATATTGCTACTCTGAGTTTGGGAGAGATTGAACCTAGGGTCTACTGTGAAACTCTGTAGACTAGACTTCTGTCTGAGGCAGCCCCTGCCTGTAACCGTAACCTGCGCCAAACTCCAATGGAGCATTCTTCTCAATGGATAAATGGAAATTCCGGATGATCCGATGGGCAGAGAGTGCGACTGTTTTTTTCAGGAGCTCTGGTTGAATGGTTTTGGGGACTTTCTGGGAGGATGCTCTGCACCCAGAAAAGTAGTCCAACGGGAATCATGAGAAAATGGGCGACTCCGTGTGCCTCCGTCCCCTCCTACTTCCTCACCCACCCCTCCATCAGGGATCCCACGTATTCCAGGATGACACGTGTTTTAGTTGTCTTTGGGCGACAACTAGCGGCAACCGTTATTGAAAATGTAAGCTGTAGAGAACAAAAAAACTCTGGTCGCCTGTTCACAGCTCACTCACTGCAACGTTGAATCCTGGGCTTAAGCAATCCTCCTGCCTCAGCTTCCTGAGTAGCTGGAAATATAGGCATGTGCCACAATGCTGGGCAATATTTTTAAGTAGTGGTAATCTCTCTCGATGTGTTGCCCAGGTTAGTCTCAAACTCCTGTCCTCTATCCAGCCTCCCACCTTGGTCTTCAGAAGTCCTGGGATTACAGGCTTGAGCCACTGTGCTCACTCCTATAATTTGATGTTTTCAACAATACTATGTAGTGAAATGCATCACGAAGACATTTTGCAAAAGAAAGCTCACTATCACATATAAAGTTGTATACTTGTCATGTGCTTACGTGAGCGCATGTTCTTGCCTGTCTGAATGTTTTCTGAGAACTGATCATCTTTTCCCCAGGGACACTGGTTGAAGAGCTGCGGGGATTGTCTGGGAGGGTGTCTCGGGCCCGGAAACGTAATCCAGGAGAGATC